>NC_000001.11:209851253-210002768 GCF_000001405.40 Homo sapiens | reverse complement strand
CAAAGTCCTGATCAGGCTTATCATGAAGGATAAAACAAAAATGGCCAATAAATGTATGAAAAGGTGTTCAACTTTGTTATGTATCAGAAAACTTCAAATTACATCATAATGCAGTATCACTATTCCAGAATGGCCAAAATTTAGATCTTGTAATATGAAGTATTCGTTAGGAAGTGGAGCAATTGGAAATCTTTCAGACGATAAAAATCTGAGACTCAACAGTACAGAAAAAAAAATCATGGGTATATAGTCATACACTAGAAAATTATGTAGCCATAAAAATGAATGAATAATAGTTACATGCAAAAAACTGAATCTTGGAAATATGAGGTTAAGCAAAAGCAGCAAGGCAGAAGGGACAAGATTCCAATATAAAGATTCCAATATAAAGTTCAAAACAGGCAAAACTAATCTTTCAAGGATGTGTACTTAGGTGGTAAAACTTAAAGAAAAAAATATTAATGTCCATAAAAGCAAGCAGAAAAGGGATAATACTCAGGAAGAGTGCACGGGGGCTTTTGAAGAAATGGCGGCATTCTACTTCTCTACCTGGGTTCTGGTTACATAGGTGCTTGCTTTTAAGTATTATTCTTCATTTTGTTTCAAAATTTAAAAAGAACTAAAAAAATGTATAGTTCTTATGGGCAGTTTATCTTGGTTATGGTGATACCTGGTGAATCATTCCAGTCTGCGAGAGCTGCTATCTGAATGACCCACTTATAATCTTGTCCCTCTCAGTCTAATCTTATCACAGTGTCCAGAATGAGCCCTTCAAAATGTAAATCAGAACTGACTGTCCTCTGGTCAAAACCTTCCAATGGCTCCTCATTTCCTGCATGATCTGGCTCTCTATGACTACTCTGACCTCATTTCCTACCACTTCCCTACTAGTTCATTCCACAGTCGGCCTTGATGTTTCTCACATATTAGCCAGGTTGTTTTTCCCTGGATGTTCCCCCTCTGCTTTGATGGCATTTTCCCAGATATTCACATAACTGATTCTTTCACCTCCTTCGAGTCTTTGCTTAAACATTACTTTCTTAATAAGAGCAACTCTGTCAACCCTATTTTAAAATGCAACCCATTAACACCCATACCTCACCTTTTCCCTGGCTTATTTTTTGTATCTCTTATCTTCTAAAATACCAAATAATTTATTACTTTTTATATCATTTGTTATCTGTCTTCCCATACTAGCATGTACGCTTCAAAAGGCAGGAAGCCAGCTGATATTTGGGATAGATTGCTAGGCAATAATTATGAATATAAATGTAATTTAAAATGATGAATATAAATGTAAAATATAAATACTAAAACCCAAATCCAGAAATATATGGAGAAATACATCAAGACAGAGTTAGATTTATCCCCACTATGTAAAAATAATGTAACATTAGAAAATCAACTGATAGAATTCATCACACTAACAAAGTAAAGGAGTCAAGACATCCTTTCAACAGGGCAAAAAAAAAAGTTATTAAGAAACCTCAATAGCAACCTATAATTAAAAAAAAATTAGCAAATTTGAGCTGGAAGGTAACTTACTTAGCCTGATAAAGGAAATCAGCCAAAATAATATAGCAAAAAAATTCATGAAAATATATTACAATTCAAAAGTATTAACTTTAAAATTAGGAACACAGCAAAGCTGCTTGTTTTATTTTCAGCACTAAAGAGGTTTTAGGATGCCCTGGATTCAAAACAACATTCAATTCTAGCCTCCATGAGCCTCAGTGAAAACAAGAGTCCTTTATTATTTTAACAATAAAACTTCATTCTTCAGAGGTTAATGAAAAACATAATTCAGTCTTAAAATAATGTGTTTTTAATCACAAAAGGATGAAAACTATGAGGCACGCAGAAACAAGTTTTAAAAAGAAGGCATCCCAGCACTTTGGGAGGCCGAGGTGGGTGGATCACAAGGTCAGGAGATCAAGACCAGCCTGGCCAAGATGGTGAAACCCCGTCTCTACTAAAAATACAAAAAATTAGCCTGGCGCGGTGGCAGGCGCCTCTAATCCCAGCTACTAGGGAGGCTGAGGCAGGAGAATCACTTGACTCGGAGGGCAGAGGTTGCAGTGAGCCGAGATCGCACCACTGCACTCCAGCCTGGGTGACACAGTGAGACTCTATCTCAAAAAAAAAAAAAAAAAAAGAAGGCATAAAACAGCCCTAATGAAAGTAGGAGGAGAACATAATAAAAAGAAAAGCAGCAATAAATTAAATTCGATAAAAGCAACAGAAGTATCTAAGAACATTTTCTTAGATTGTGTGTGTGTGTGTGTGTGTGTGTGTGTGTGTGCGTATGAGGACAAAGGACTAAAATAAGATGAACATACTTTGGCAAGTCTAATAAAAATTACAACAAAAGTAATTCAAGGCTTACTCTGCATCATGCACTATCCCACGTATTTTACATGTATAATTTCATTCAAGTTTCACAACAACTCTACTACCCTTGCAGAAAAGGAAACCGAAACATGTGATGAAAGAATTTGTCCAAATTCACAAAGCCGTAAGTGGCAGAGTCAGGATTCAATTGTCTGGACTAATATAATACTTACAAATATAGAATACTGTACACTAAAATAGGGAGATAACAGTAAATATATACATATACAATTTTAAAGCAAATACTTTATACACCACAGCAAAAAAGTGTTTGTATACATTTGCAAATATCTGTAAAATAAAAATAAAATCATAACTTTAAAAACATTTTTATTAATACATAATTTTTGCACATATTCATGGGGTACATCTGATATTTTGTTACAAGAATAGAATGTGTTATGACCAAGTTGGAGTACTTTAAGGTATCCATCACCTCAGGTATTTATCATTTCCATGTGCTGGGAACATTTCAAGTCCTCTCTTCTAGATTTTGAAATATACAATATATTGTTGTTAACTAGTCACCCTGCTCTGCTACTGAACATTAGAACTTATTCCTTCTATTTAACTATGTTCATATGCATTAACCAACCTCTTATTCCCCCATCCTTACCATATACACCATTCTGAGCCTCTGATATTTACTATTCTACTCTCTACCTCTATGAGATCCACTTTTTTAGCTCCCACATATGAGTGAGAGCATACAATGTCTTTCTGTGTGTGTCTGGCTTATTTCATTTACCATAATGACCTCTAGTTCTTTTCATGTTGCTGCAAATGACAAGGTTTCATTCTTTTTATGGCTGAATAGTATTCCATTGTGTAAATTTACCACATTTTCTTATCCATTCATTGGAAAATGGACACTTACATTGATTTCATATCTCTGCTATTGTGAATAGTGCTGCAAGAAACTATGGATGCAGGTATCCCACTGATAAACTAATTTCTTCACCCTCAGATAAATACCCAGTAGAAGGATTTCTGGATTGTATGGTAGTTCTATTTTTACTTTTTTGAGATATCTCCATACTGTTTCCCATAGTGGCTGTACTAATTTACATTCTCTCCAACCATGTATAAGAATTCCCACTTTTCTGCATCCTTGACAACATCTGTTATTTTTTATCTTTTTGATAATAGCCATTTTAACTGGTGTAAGATGATACCTCGTTGTGGCTTTGGTTTGCATTTCCCTGATGATCAGTGATATGAAACTGTCTTTTCAGAAATGTCTATTCATCTCCTTTGCCCACTTTTTAATGGGATTATTTACTTTTCTGCCACTGAGTTTCTTGTAAATTCTGCAAATAAGTTCCTTGTCAAATAAGTTCCTGCTAATACTTTATATTTTCTCCCATTCAACATGTTGTCTTTTTGCTCTGTTGTTTTCTTTGCTGTGCAGAAGCTTTTTAGCTTAATATAGTCCCATTTGTCTATTTTGGGGGGTTTTAGCTTGTGCTTTTGAGGTCTTAGCCATAAAATATTGCTTAACCCAATGTCCTGAAGTATTTCTCCTTTTTTCTTTCAGTAGTTTTATAGTTTCGGGTCTTACTTTTAAGTCTTTAATCAATCTTGAGTTCATTTTTGTATATGGTGAGAGAGGAGTACAGTTTCATTTTTCTGCATATGAATATCCAGATTTCCCAACACCATTTATTGAAGAGGCTGTTCTTTCCACAAAATATGTTCTTGGGGCTTTTGTCAAAATGAGTTGGATATAAATACATAGATTTATTTCTGGGTTCTTTGTTCTATTCCATTGGTTTATGTGTCTGCTTTAATATCAACATCATGCTGTTCTGTTACTATAGCCTTGTATTTTGAAGTCAGATAGTATGCTGCTTCCAGCTTTATTCTTTTTGCTCGGGACTGTTTTGACTATTTGGGGTATTTTTTTTAGTTCTATACAAATTCTAGAGTTGTTTTCTCTATTTCTGTTAAAAATGACATTGATATTCTGACAGGGATTGCACTGAATGTGTAGACCACTTTGTGTAATATGGTCATTTTAATAATATTAACTCTTCCAATCCATGAGCACGGGATGGCTTTCCATTTGTTTGGGTCCTCTTCAATTTCTTTTATCAGTGTTTCATAGTCTTCCTTATAGAGGTCTTTCACCTCCATGGCTAACTTTATTATTTTATTTTGTTTTCCATACCTGTGGTTAATGTGATTGCCTTCTTGGCCTTTTTCAGCTACTCATTATTGGTGTATAGAAATACTACATAAAATTAAACAAAAAAACCCTAGAAATAAAAATGATTAATACTTTTTTCCTGTGTACAAATATGAAAACTCTGTCTTAAAAACACGCAATCAAAATTCAAAGTTAAACAAAAAAGACGGCAAAATTTAACATATGGTTTTAAAAAATTACTCAAAAAAGCCTTTAACTTTTTAAATAAAGAACATTATAAATCTTCAAGAATAATTTCCATGGAGTAGTCACCAAAGAAGAATGTTGAATTCTTAAATGTTAAATCACCGTTAAAATTGAAAAAATATCCAACTTCAGAGTAATAAAGCAATTTTAAATAATAAATTTTTACTTTCAACTTTTATTTTAGATACAGGGGGGTACATATACAGGCCTGTTACATGGTTATTTATATTGCACCCAGGTAGTGAGCACAGTACCCAATAGGTAGTTTTGTAACCCATGCCCCCATGCCCTCTGTAGTAGTCTGCAGTGTCCACTGTTCTCATATTTATGTCCCTGAGTATCCAACGTTCCATACGAAATTTAGAATAGCCTTTTTTTAATTCTGTGAAGAATTACATTGGTAGTTTAATAGTGATAGCATTGAACCTGTAGATTGCACTGGGCAGTGTGGCCATTTTAACGATATTAATTCTTCCAATTCATGAGAATAGAGTGTTTTCTATTTGTATCATCTCCAATTTCTTTCAGTAGTGTTTTTTAATATTCCTTATAGAGATCTTTCACCTCCTTGGTTAGATGTATTCCCAGGTATTTCATTTTTTGTGTGGCTATTATGAATGAGATTGTGTTCTTCATTTGATTCTCAGTCTAGGCATTATTGGTGTATAGAAATGCTACTGATTTTTGTACACTGATTTCATATCCTGAAACCTTGCTAAAATTGTTCATCAGTTCTTGCAGCCTTTTGGTGGAGTCTTTAGGATTTTCTACGTGTAGAATCATATCGTCAGCAAAAAGAAGCCATTTGACTTTTTTTTTTCTTTTTTTCCCTATCTGGATGCCTTTTATTTTTCCCTTGCCTGATTGCTCTGGCTAGGACTTTCAGTTCTGTGTTGAAGAAGAGTGTTAAGAGTAGACATTCTTGTCTTGTTCCAGTTCTCAAGGAGAAAGGTTCTAGCTTTTGCCCACTCAGTATGATGTTGGCTATGAGTCTGGCATAGATGACTCATTATTTTGAGGTATGTTCCTTTGATGCCTAGTTTGGTGAGGGTTTTTGTCATGAAGGGATACTGGATTTTATCTAAAGCTTTTTCTGTGTCGATTGAGATGATCATGTGGATTTTGCTTTTGATTCTGTTCATGCAGTGAATCACATTTTTTGATTTATGTATGTTGGAACAACCTTGCATCCCAGGAAAGAAGGCTACTTAATCATCGTAAATTAACTTTTTGATATGCTGCTGAATTAGATTTGCTAGTATTTTGCCGAGGATTTTCGTGTCTATGTTCATCAATATGTTCAGGATACTGGCCTGAAGTTTTCTTTTTTTGTTGTGTCTTTGCCAGGTTTTGGTATTAGGGTGATGCTGGCTTTGTAGAATGAGTTAGGGAGGAGTCCCTCCTCCTTGATTTCCTGGAATAGTTTCAGTAGGATTGGCACCAGTTTTTCTCTGTGTGTCTGTTAGAATTTGGCTGTGAATCCACCTGGTCCAGGTCTTTTTTGTTTTGGTTAGTAGAGTTTTTATTATTGATTCAAATTCAGATCTTTATATTGATCTGTTCAGGATTTCAATCTCTTTCTTATTCAATCTTGGAAGACTGCATGTTTCCAGGATTTTATACACTTCCTCTAGATTTTCTAATTTGTGTGCATTAGAGTTGTTCACATCATTCTCCGAGGATCTTTTGTATTACTGTGGGATCAGTTATACTGCCATCTTTGTCATTTCCAACTGTATTTGTTAATCTAGCTAGCAGTCTATGAGTCTTGTTTAATTTTTCAAGGAACCAACTCTTGATTTCATTGATCTTTTGTATGGATTATTGTAGCTCAATTTCATTAAATTCTTCTCTAATTTTAGTTCTTTCTTTTCTTCGGCTAGCTTTGGGTTGGTATTTTTTCTTCTTTTCTAGTTCCTTTAGGTGCAAGGGTAGATTGCTCATTTGAGATCTTTCTAAATTTTTGATGAAGGCATTTAGGGCTATAAACTGTTCTCTTAAAACTACTTTAGCTGCATCCCAGAGATTCTAGTAAGATGTGTCTCCATTTTCATTAATTTCAAATAATTTATTTCTGCCTTAATTTCAACGTTCCCACAGGAGTTTCAAGAGTAAGTTGTTTAATTTCCATGTACTTGTGCAGTTTTGAGAGATCTTCCTTATACTGATTTCTATTTTTACTGTATTGTGGTCTGAGAATATGGCTGGTATGATTTGAGTTTTTTTGAATTTACTGAGATTTGTTTTATGACTGAGCAGGTGCTGGCTCTTAGAATATGTTCAGTATGCATATGAGAAGAATGTATACTCTGTAGTTGTTGGGTGGAGTGTTCTGTAGATGTCTATGAGGTCCAATTGGTCAAATGCTGAGTTTAAGTCCGGAGTTTCATTGTTAGTTTTCTGCCTTGATGATCTAACACTGTCAGTGGGGTGTTGAAGTCTCACCCTATTATTACGTGGTTGTCTATATGTCTTTTCGTAGGACAAGAAGAACTGGTTTTATGAATCTGGGTGCTCCAATGTTTGGTGTCTATGTATTTAGGATAATTAAGTCTTCTTGTTGGATTGTACTTTTCATCATTATGTAATGTCCTTCATTGTTCTTAATTTTTATTGGCTTAACATATGTTTTATCTGATATAAGAATAGTGACTTCTGCTCTTTTTTTGGTTTCTGTTTGCATATCTTTCTCCATCCCTTTCCTTTGCGCCTACAGGTGTCACAAGAGGTGAGATGGTTCTGTTGAAGACAACAGATGGTTGAGCTTTCTCTTTTTATCCACCTTGCCACTCTGTGTCTTTTAAGTGGGGTTTTAGTGTATTTACATTCAAGGTTAGTATTGATATGTATGATTTTCATCTTGTCATCATCTTGTTAGCTGGTTGTTAGGTAGAACTGATTGCATAGTTGCTTTATAGTACCTGTGAGCTACGTACTTAAGTGTGTTTTTGTGGTATCAGATATTGTTCTTACGATTCCATGTTTAGCACTCCCTTAAAGACTTCTTATATGGCTGGTCTAGTTGAAACAAATTTCCTCAGCATTTGCTTAAAATCTGATGAAGATTTTATTTCTCTTTCACTTATGAAGCTTAGTTTGGTAAGAGATGAAATTCTTAGCTGGAATTCCTTTTCTCTATGGATGTTGAAAATAGGCCCCCAATTTCTTCTGGCTAGTGAGGTTTCTACTGAGAGGTCTGCTGCTAACCTAATGAGGTTCCCTCTGTATGTGACTTGACCCTTCTTTCTAGCTGCCTTTAAGATTTTTTCTTTAATGTTGACCTTGGTGAATCTGATGGCTATGTGCTTTGGTGACGGTTCCTGTCTATAGTATCTAGCTGGTGTTCTCTGTATTTATTGGATTAACATGTCAACCTCTAGCAAGATTAGGGAAATTTTCATGGATTATATCCTCAAGTATATTTTCCAAGTTATTTTTCTCTCTCCTTCTCTCTCAGGAATGCCAATGAGTCTTAGATTTAATCACTTTACATAATCCCATATTTCTCAGAGGTTTTTTTCAGTTTTAAAAAATTCTTTTTTCTTCGTTTTTGTCTGAGTTGCCTTGAAGAAACAATCTTCAAAGTCTAAGATTCTTTCCTCAGTTTGTTCTATTCTGCTGTTAATACTTCTGATTGTATTATAAAATTTTTGTAGTGAGTTCTTCAGGTCTAGAAGTTCAGTTGGTTCTTTCTTAAAATGGTTATTTCCTCTTTCAGCTCCTTGATCATCTTACTGGATTCCTTAGATTGTGTTTCAACTATCTCCTGAATCTCAATGAGCATCCCTTCTATCCAGATTCTGAATTCTATGACTGTTATTTCAGTCATTTCAAACTGGTTAAGAACCATTGCTGGGGAACTAGTAGATTCATTTGGAGGTAGGGGGACACTTTGGCTTTTTGAATTGCCAGAGTTCTAGCACTGACTCTCATCTTGGAGGGTTGGTGTTCTGCAGTGTTAACTGTATATAGTCAGTTAGCTTCAATTCTGGGTGCTTTCAGAGGACTAGGGCTCCGTACAACATCTTTAGGTAAACACTTGCACTTGGTTTCACAGGTGTATATATCAGCAGATTTTTGGTGTTGCAGTTTGGGCTACAATCCAGTAGCTGGCACTTAAGAGTAATGGCCAGTAGCTAGGCTAATACCCAGCCACACAACTCTTTGGTACTTCCTCACTTTCACAGGTGTGCACTGCAGTGGGGAAGTCAGGGATGGGGAGAGGGGAAGGAGAAGAGATGGCCTCACCAGGTCCACTTGGGGGAGCTCCCTCCAATCATGGGCGCCCATGCCTGAGTTTCTTTTGTTAGGTGTTCCGGGCTGCCAGGCCCCCCAGGCAGAGGCTGCAACAGAGAGATATGCCAAACCCCTTCTGGACAGGCCCTGTTTAAGGAGAAATGCATGTCTGGTTCCCACCCTGGTCCAGGAACCCATGCGTGTCGCCCCCTCAGTGTTCTAAGGGTACATACAGTCTCCTCCCCAGCTCATGTGCTGGCCACAGATCTTGGCTGCAGGCTGGAGCTCTGGGGGTACCCAGATGTCCCGCAGCTTGGGGTCAGGTTCCAGCTGTGCTGAGGAATTACAAGTGTTTCTGGGCCACTAGGAAAAGAAATAAGGTGAAACAATGCACTCAGGCTAGGCTGCAGATGCTACACTGTGCACTCAATCATGCGGGGCAGCTAGGCATGTGTCCAAGGAGGGGCAGTCGACAGGCGAGCTTGCACAACAGATGTGCCCCTGTTCCATGGCGAAGCCAGCCCCACTCTTTTCTGGCTCAGAGGTCAGTTGGGGCTGGCACTTCCTGAAGGGGGATGGGGAACCCTAGGGAAAAGACATCTATGGTCACTCTCTGACAGAGCTACCCAGCCCACAAAAACTCCCAGGCTCTGCAACATCTGAAAATTAGTCTCTGCCTATCCCCAGCAAGATCCCTCTGCCAGCTCGCATGTCCACAGCAGACGAGTAACTAGGATCCTAGGGGTCAGTGGTGAAAGTGAGCTGTCCCTCAGGTCCTTCATTCACCTCTTTCCCAGGAGCTCTTAAGGGCCAGGAACTAGTCCTAGGGTTCAGTTAACCTACACAGTGTTCCCAGCTTCCCCACCTTCATGCTCAGCTTCAGTGTCGCCTTTCCATTCACTCTCAGCTTTTTCTCTTTGAAGATCTGCCCAAATTAAGGTGGTTTACTCAATAATATGGTCTCTCTCAGTGTGAATGGTACTTCCTCCCTGTGTCTAGTAGGCCATCTTGTCCCCCCTTCAGTTTTCTTAAGCAAGCATGGTTTACATTTGCCTTTTATTTATTTGTTTTTTATAAATTCAGGGGGTTTAAGTGCCATTTTGTTACAAAGATATATTGCATAGTGGTGTTTTTAGCGTAGCCATCACCAGAATAAGTATACACTGTACCCATTAAGTAATTTCCCATCCCTCATCCTTCTCTCACACTTCCATCCTACTGAGTTGCCAATGTCTATTACTACATTTTCTATGTCCATGTGTACACATTATTTATCTCCCACTTACCCATGAGAACATGCAGCATCTGACTTTCTGTTTTTTAGTTATTTCACTTAAAATAATGGCCTCCAGTTCCCTCCATGTTGCTGCAAAAGACAAGATTTCATTCTTTTTTATAGTTGAGTAGTATTCCATGGTTATATAAACCACATTTTTTAGCCAGGTGTGGTGGTGTGCATCTGTAGTCCTAGCTACTTGGGAGGCTGAGGCAGGAGGATTACTTGAACCCAGGAGTTCAAGGATGAGTGAGCTATGATCGTGCCGCTGCACTCCAGCCTGGGTGACAGAGCAAGACCCTGTCTCAAGCAAAAACAACAACAACAAAAAAAAATTTTCTTTATCCAGTCATCTATTGGTAGACACTTAGGTTGATTCCATATCTTTGCCATTGTGAATAGTGCTGCAATAAACATACAGGTGCAGGTATCTTTTTGATATAATGATTTATTTTCCCTTGAGCCTATACTAAGTAATGAGATTGCTAGGTCAAATGGTAGTTCTGTTTAAATTATTTGAGAAATCTGCAAACTGCTTTCTACAGTGGCTTAACAAATTTACATTCCCACCAACAGCGTATGTTTCCATTTCTCTGCATCCCCGTCAATATCTGTTATTTGACTTTTTTTTTTTTTTTCTCGAGACGGAGTCTCGCTTTATCGCCCAGGCTGGAGTGCAGTGGTGTGATCTTGGCTCTCTGCAGCCTCTGCCTCCTAGGTTCAAGCGATTCTCATGCCTTAGCCTCCCGAGTAGCTGGGACCACAGGCACACACCACCACGCCCAGCTAATTTCTGTATTTTCAGTAGAGATGGGGTTTCACTATATTGGCCAGGTTAGATGTTATTTGACTTTTTAATAACAGCTATTCTGATTGGTGTAAGACGGTATCTCCTTGTGGTTTTAATTTGCATTTCTCTGATGATTAGTGATGTTGAGCATTTTTTCATATGCTTCTTGGCCATATGTATGTCTTCCTTTGCAAAATGTCTGTGCATTTCCGTTGCTCACTTTTTAATGGGGTTATTTGAGGGATTTTGGTTGAGTTGTTTGCATTCCTTGTAGATTCTGGACATTGGACCTTTATCAGATGCAAAGTTGGCTAGTATTTTCCCCCATTCTGCAGGTTGTCTGTTCACTGTGTTGATTATTTCTTTTACTGTGCAGAAGCTTTTCAGTTTATATAGCCCCATTTGTCTACTTTTGTTTTTGTTGCATTTGCTTTTGAAGGTCTCAGTCATGAATTCTTGGTCTAGGCCAATGTCTGGAGGAGTTTTTCCTAGATTTTCTTCTACACTTTTTGCAGCTTCAGGACTTACATTTAAGGCTTTAATCCATCTTGAGTTATTTTTTGTATGTGGTGAGAGTTAGGAGTCCAGTTTCATTCTGCATATGGCAATCCAATTTTCCTAGCGCCACTTACTGAATAGGGTGTCCTTTCCCCAGTGTATAATTTTGTTGACTTTATCAAAGATCAGTTTGCTGTAAGTGTGGGGCTTTATTTCTGGGTTCTCTATTCTATTCTACTAATCTGCGACTATTTTTATACCATGCTATTTTGGTTACTAACACCTTGCAGTATAATTTGAAGTCAGGTAAAGTGATACCTCCAACTTTGTAATAATACCAATCTGACAAAGCTTTTTCTAACGAGGAAATGACAAGAATGTGAAAGAAACAATGATTACTCTGTATTTACTAATTTTTTAAATTTTTTATGGGTATATATATAAGTGTATATATTTATGGAGTACATTAGTTATTTTGATACAGGCATACAATGTGTAATAATCACATCAGGGTAAATGGCATACTGCTAAATTTTTGATAAATAACAAGTATTATCATATGATAAGAAAAAGCAACACACTTTATTTCATTAAAACAAGAAATATACATACATATATATACGTATATATATACATATATATACGTATATATATATATGTGAAATATTCCTTCATCCTTAAAAATGGAATTTAGGACAACTGCCAAAATGACATCTGAGGAACACTAGATCAACAGATATTAAGATGTGAGATTTTTAAAAAGGAAGGTGGGGGCGTTCCATGATGAAACGTATTCAGGAAATATTGGGCTAAATAAAGTTGAGAAGTTTTTCAGTGCAGGACTTCTAGAGCCATTGATATGCTAATTTTCTAAACTTAGCCATCTCCATCACAGACTGAGTGGCTCTAGAGAAGCCCTAACAATCTGGAACAGCATTTAAAAATCACCAATCTAATACAATATTCTAACATTTTTTATATATTTTGTAAAATGTACAAAAACAGATGAAAGGTGGAGGGAAAATGAATTCTGTTTACAATAAAGCTGAGGTTCTATAAGGCATAATTTATAACTACATATTGGGTCCAGTTTGAAGGAACCAGAAGTAAAAGATAGCAAACAGGAGGTCTGTAATTTTTACTTGTTTATTAAAATTGATTTATATGCTAATTTTATATTGAATATACTTTAAATTGTGCTAACTGCAAGTACATGGCTTTAAACGTGATGAAAAGTCAGACCAATATATAGCTGAATTTTAAAAAGTATAAATTGAAATGAAAATATAAATATATCTTAGAGTTTAAATAAAAACGACGCCTTGGACATCTAAAGCAACAATAATTTCACAGTAAAATTTCATATATACACACTAGGCAAAGCACTGAAGTATTTACTAAATATATTTTCATATTAGCCATTAGATGGCACCATATATCTACTAGTTAACATAACTATACTATAATTCCCCTGACATGCTCAAAAAGTAATATAAAATATATTTAACTTCTACGTAAATATAATACACATTATCTTTTATCACTGTTAACTTTAAGCTTTAAAGGAAGAAAGATGATATAAGCAACTACATTTATATCACCATTTCTGGAATGTTAAAACTTAATAAGTAATCTCATTCAGAAATCAAATGAAATGTTCTAAGACAATGATTCAAAGGCTGAAGAGCAGACAGCTAGAGAATGCCTTTCCTTAAGGTAAATGTAAGATAAAACTAATTCTCTACCTTAATAAATTTTGTTTTTACTTTTTATTCATAAACCTACATTGTCCAATTTCCAATTCTTCTAAATAATCAAATTTCTGTCTCCTCTTAAATTTCACCATATCTTGTTCTCTAATCCAGGACTCTCAGTTCCTGTGTAATTTCCCAGTCTCTCCTGAAATCGCTGCTGCAGATTTTTATATAGTCTATTTAAATACCAAAAATGACCCCATTCTAATAATCACATTTTCTACTTCCAGTTAAGATAAAATAACATGGACAGATTTCTCCCACCACCTGAAAACACTAAAACAAGACAGAGCGTATGAAACAATGGCACTCAAGACACTGAAGATGGGCAATAAAGGAGTGATCATTCAGAGGAAGAAAAAAAATGAGATCATCTGTATGACTATGATTTTCCAAGCTTACTACCTGGAGAAAGGGGACAGTGCGGTCACTGTACAGTCAGGTGAGTGTTGAGGAGATAAACCTGGGAGTATGAAGAAGCCAAGTGTGCTCAAGTTCATGTGGCTGAGTCCCGGAATAAAAAGCTGTGTAGACAGAGAACTCCAGACACCTGCACTGAGTCACTCCTAAGATACAGTTCAGTACTTCTTAGCACATACATGTAAGGAAACAATCAGAGGCTGGGAAAAAAACTGCCTAAGAGGATTAGAGGGAAGACATGCCAAATCTTACACAGAGCATGAAATGGGGACTATTCTGAAGATCCAGAATTTTAAAATCTCAAACCTTATGAGCCACTGATTAGACTGACATATGAAGGATTTTGCTTCAGAAAATTAATCTTACACTAAATGCAGGTTTTGCCCCTCCTAACAAAGGTGAAAAGCAAGACTGAAAGGAAAGTCTCAGGTAATTTAACCTATCTCAGAATAAAGCTCAAGAACTAATCACGATTAGATCTAACACTCAACAAGGGAAACTTCACAATGTTTGGCATCCAATAAAGAAATTATCAGGTATGCAAAGAAGCAAAATGAAAAAAACCTAGCAGAAAAATTAATCAATCGAAACTGACTCAGAAAATTGATAAAATTAGGAGACAGGGACACTAACAATTATGATGATATATTCCATGGGTTTGAAGAACCAGAGGAATGATCGAATGTGGTAAGAGGAGATACGGAACTTTTCTTAAAAGCCTAAATCAAACTTCCAAAGGTAAAAACTAAAATGTCTTAGATAAAAATACACTGAAAGAGACTGACAGCACATCAGATATTACAAAAGAAAATGTTAATGAACCTGAAGACATATCAACAGAAAGCATAAACACAACAGAAAGACTAAAAAAATGCAAATAATCAGTAAATTGTGGAACAACTTCAAGTAGATAAATACATGTGTAATTGAAGTCCCCACAAAAGAGATGAGAAAAGAAGAAATCAAGAAAACATTTGAAGAAGTGATGGTCAAAATTGTTCCAAATTTAATGAAAACTATCACCAAAAGCAGCTCAGTAAATTCAATGTACAAGAAAAAAACGAAGAAAACTACACAAAGGAACATTATATTCAAATGGATTAAAGTTGTAAAGATAAAAACAGAAGTAGTCAGAAAAATTACACATTATCTACAAAAGAAAAGAGGTAAGGCTGACAAGAGATTCATCAGAAATAATAAAAGATAGAACAAGTGGCACACTATCTTTAAAGTATTGAAAGAATAAAAGCCGCTAATCTAGAAGTCCTTGCCAGTTAAATGATCTTTGAAAAGCAAAAGGTGAAATTTTGTAAAACAACACAACACAACTTTGAGTCACACAAAAGGATATAGTTTGGATATTTGTCTCCACCCAAATCTCATATTGAAATGTAATTACCAGTGTTGGAGGTGAGACCTAGTGGGAGGTGTTTGGATCATGGGGGAAGATCCTTTACAGCTTGGTGCTGTCCTTACAGTAGTGAGTACTCACAAGATCTGATTGTTTAAGTGTGTAGCACCTCACCCACATTCTCTCTTGCTCCTGTTTTCACCATGTGAAGTGCTTGCTCCCACTTCATGTCCCACTATTAGTAAAAGCTTCCTGAGGCCTCTACAGAAGCTGAACAGATGCCAGCGCCATGCTTGCACAGCCTACAAAACTTTAAGCCAATTAAACCTCTTTATAAATTATCCAGTCTCAGGTATTTCTTTATAGCAACACAAGAATTGCCTAATATAGAAAACTGGTACCAAGGAGTGGGGCTCTGCTATAAAGATATCTGAAAATGTGAAAGCAACTTTGGAAGTGGGTAACAGGCAGAGGTTAGAATAGTCTGGAGGGCTCAGAAGAAGACAGGAAGATGAGGGAAAGTTTGGAACTGCTTAGAGATGAGTTAAATGGTTGTGACCAAAATGATGATGTTGATATGGACAATCAAGTCCAGGCTGCTGAGTTCTCAGATGGAAATGACAAACACACTGGGAACTGGAGCAAAGGTAACTCATATTATGCCTTAACAAAGAGCTTGGTTGCATTGTGTTCATGTCCTAGGGATCTGTGTAAGTTTGAAAATGAAAGATAATTGGGTCGGGTATGGTGGCTCATGCCTGTAATCCCAGCACTTTGGGAGGCTGAGGTGGGCGGATCACAAGGTCAGGAGTTCAAGACCAGCCTGACCAATATGGTGAAACTCTGTCTCTACAAAAAATACAAAAATTAGCCGGGCATGGTGGCGCATGCCTGTAATTCCAGCTACTCAGAAGGCTGAGGCAGGGGAATTGCTTGAACCCGGGAGGCAGAGGTTGCACTGGGCGACAGAGTGAGACTCCGTCTCAAAAAAGAAAAAAAGAAAGATGATTTAAGGTATCTGGCGGAAGAAATTTTTTTTTTTTTTGAGACGGAGTCTCATGCTATCACCCAGGCTGGAGTGCAATGGCGCAATCTTGGCTCACTGCAAGCTCCACCTCCTGGGTTCACGCCATTCTCCTGCCTCAGCCTCCTGAGTAGCTGGGACTATAGGCGCCCGCCACCTCGCCCGGCTAATTTTTTTTAAATTATTATTTTTAGTAGAGGCAGGGTTTCAGCATGTTAGCCAGGATGGTCTCGATCTCCTGACCTCATGATCCACCTGCCTTGGCCTCCCAAAGTGCTAGGACTACAGGCATGAGCCACCGCGCCCAGCCCCTGGCAGAAGAAATTTCTAAGTGGCAAAGCATTCAGGATGTGGCCTGGCTGCTTCTAACAGCCTATGTTCAGATGTGGGAACAAAGAAATTACTAACATAGGAACTTACATTTAAAAGGGAAGCAGAGCATAAAAGTTTGGAAAATTTGCAGCCTGGGCTTGTGGTAGAAAAGAAAGGCCCAATTTCAAGGCAGGAATTTAAGCAGGCTGCGGAGCAACCACTTCCTAGAGAAATTTGCAAAATTAAAAAGGAGCCAAGTACTAATACCCAATACTATGGGAGAAAGGTCTCAGAGACCTTCATGGCAGCCCTTCCAACCAAAGGTCTTGAAGCCTAGGAGAACTGAATGGTTTTGTGGGCCAGGCCTAGGGTCCTGCTGCCCTGCACAGCCTTGGGAAATTGCTCCTGTATCCCGGCCACTCTGGCTCCAGCCTCAGCTCAAAAAGGCCCAGGTATACCTTGGGCTGCTGCTTCAGAGAGTGCAAGCTGTAAGCCTTGGAGGCTTCCATGTAGTGTTAAGCCTGTAGGCACTTGGAGTGCAAGAGTAGTGGAAGCTTGGCAGCCTCTGCCTAGATTTCAAAGATGTTTAGAAAAGCCTGAGTGTCTAGGAAGAAGATTGCTGCAGGGATTAAGGCCTCACAGAAAACCTCTACTAGAGCAGTGCAGAGGGAAAATGTGAGGATGGAGGCCCCACACAGAGTCCCCACTGGGACACTCCTAGTGGAGCTGTGGAAAAAGGGCAGCTGTTCTCCAGACTCCAGAGTGGCAGATCCACCAGCAGCTTTCACTGTACACCTGGAAAAGCCACAAGCACTCAACTCCATCCTGGAAGAACAGATGTGGGGGCTGACCCCCTAAAAAGCCACAGGGGCAGAGTGGCCGAAGGCATTGGGAGCCCACCCCTTGAAGCAGTGTGCCCTGAATATAGGACGTGGAGTCAAAGAGGAGACTGATTTGGAACTTTTAAGATTTAATGACTGCCCTGATGCGTTTTGAACTAACATGGGGTCTGCAGCCCCTTTCTTTTGGCCGATTTCTCCCTTTTGGAATGGAAATGTTTACCCAATGTCTCTATCCACACTGTATCTTGGGAGTAAATAATTTGTTTGATTTTACAGGCTCCTAGACAGAAGGCAATTGCCTTGTATCAGATGAGACTTTGGATTTTTAGTGTTGCAACAAGTTAAAACTTTGGGGGACTATTGGAAAGGCCTGATTATATTTAGCAACATGAGAAGGACATGAGATTTTGTGGGGCCAGGGGTGGAATGATATAGCTTGTATATCTGTCCCCACCCAAATCTCATGTTGAGATGTAATCCCCAATGTTGGAGGTGGGGCCTGGTGGGAGGTGTTTAGGTACTGAGGGCAGAATTCTCATGGCTTAGTGCTGTTCTTGAAATAGTGAGTACTCACAAGATCTAGTTGTTTAAGTGTGTGGCACCTCCCCACTGACTCTCTCTTGCTCCTGCTTTTGCCATGTGAAGTGCCTGCTCCCACTTTCCCTTCCAGCATGAGTAAAAGCTCCCTGAGCCCTCTCCAGAAGCTGAGGGATGCCAGTGCCATGCTTATACAGCCTGCAGAACCGTGAGCCAATTAACCTCTTTTCTATAATAAATTACCCAGTCTCAGGTATTTATAGCAGTAGAAGAATGGACTAATACACACATGTTGAAAGACAACATCACCAGCAAATCTGCTGTAAGAAATATTAAAGTTCTTCAGACAGAATGAAAATGACACAAGATGGAAACCCAGATATACAACAAAAAGAATACAGTGTACTAAAAAATAATTTTCATCTTATTATTTAAAAATTTTTAAAAGATAAGAGAGAATGACATCACAGAAAATGAGGGAGAAGGAAGCTTCAAGGGTATGTACCTCCACTGAAACAACCATTAAACAGGAAAAAATTGTCAGAATCAACTATTTCAAAACTCTGGAACCTTGTTGGACAATTAGAGCAACGAGGGATGTGCTTGCTGAAGGGAGAGACTGCTGAAACTCAGTAAGAGAACAGTATGCACAAAACAGCTACCATCCCCCATCCTTCAGCCCCCACCTTGGCAATGGGGACATCAGCTCATATACCTGGACTGGCTAGTTGGCGCTAAAATCAGCAGTAAGGACCCTGACTTCCAAAAATTGGCGGTTGTGCATTTTGATCATTCTGGCATTTCCCTGAAGAACAGATGTAGATGCCTGCCTTTGTTTTGGCTGCCTCAGGCTGCAGTGGCTTTGCCAACAGTGGCTATTTCCAGATGGCACATACATCTTTGGTTGGTTTTTTTGGATCCAGACATTTAGGAAAACCTCTGAGAGGTCCTTGTCTGACCACAGATATAAGGAAAAAGAAACATCTCTGACTATATACAAGAAGGAATAAAGACTTTTCAAAAATAGTCTGGGGAGGTCACTAAATAGATGACTGCAGCACCTACTAACCAAAAATGAGAAATCCCTGAGGAGTAGGACAATCTCATTTCTACTTACCACAATAGAGTGTTCAAAATGTTGTTTTCAACAAAAAGTTACAAAGCTTTCAAAGAAACAAGAAAGTATGGCCCATTCTCAAGATAAAAGAATTTCACAGAAACAATCTCTGAGGAAGATCCAAAATTAGAATTACTAGTTAAGGATGTTTAATGAACTTTCTTAAGTAAGATTAATAAGCTAAAATAAACCAGGGACAGAAAAAACACACACACACACAAAGAAAATCAGGAGAACAAGTGTCAATAAAGGGATAGAAATTATAAAAAGAAACCAAATAGACATTCTGACAGTGAAAAGTACACTAGATCAAATGAAAGTTTACTGGAGATGTTCAATGGCAGATTTGGCCAGGCAAATCAGAGACTCAGTAAACATTAAGATAAAACCATTGAAATGACCCACTTTGAGGAGCAGGGGGAAAAAAAGAAGGCAGAAAAATGAACATAATGAGGGCCTGTGAGATACCATCAAACATACCAACACATGTATCATAGGAGAACCAAAAGGAGAAGAGGAAAAAGGCAGAACAATATCAGAAGAAGTAATGGCCAAAAATGACTTTGTAAATATAACACCAAAGGCACAATCCATGAAAAAAAATAGTTGATAAACTGGATCTCAATTTAAAATTTAAAACTTCTGCTCTGCAAAATACAATGCGAAGAAAATGAGAAGACAAGCTACAGATTACAGGAAAATATTTGCAAAAGACACATTTGATAAAGGACTGTTTCAAAAATATATAAAGAACTCTTAAAACTCAACAATAAAAAAAAAAACAGCCTGATGAATAAATGGGCCAAAGGCCTTAAAAGACACCTCACCAAAAGCGATAAGCATATAGCAAATTAACACATAAAAAGACACTCCACAACATCTGTTATCAGGGTAATGCAAATTAAGACAACAGAGACACCACCACATACCTATTAGAATGGCCAAAATCCAGAACACTGACAACTCCAAATGCTGATGAGGATGTGGAGCAACAGGAATCCTCATTAATGGCTGCCGTAAATGCAACATGGCACAGCGACTCTAAAAGACAGTTTGGCTGCTTCTCACAAAGCTAAATATATTCTTACCATATGATCCAGCAATTACATTCCTTGATATTTACTGAAAAAAGTTGAAAACTTACATCCACACAAAAATGTGTACATTGATGCTTACAGCAGCTTTATTCATAATTGCCAAAACTTGGAAGCAACCAAGATGTCCCTCTGTAGGTGAATGGATAAATAAAACTGTGCAACATCCAGACAATGGAATACTATTCAGTGTTAAAAACAAATGAGTTATTAAAAAAAATTTCAAAACTTCAAAACCAGTGTTTTAAACTAACCCAGTCACACAAAAGCAAAGGGAATTTTAAAAACAGTTTCATGCCTGTAATCCCAGCATCTTGGGAGGCTGAGGCAGGTGGATTGCTTCAACTCAGAAATTTGAAACCAGACTAAGCAATACGGTGAAACCTTGTCTCCAAGAAAAATACAAAAATAAGCCAGCCACGGTGGCACATGCCTGTAGTCCTGGCTACTCTGGGGGCTGAGGTGGGAGGATCACCTGAGACCAAAAGATCAAGGGTGCAGTGAGCTGTGATGGCGCCACTGCACTCCAGCTTGGGTTACAGAGTGAGACCCTATTTAAAAAATAATAATAATAATAATTAATAAACAAGTCTTTGAGAAATATGGGACTATGTAAAGTAACCAAACCTATGAATTACTGGCATTCTTGAGAAAAAGTAAATCTGGAAAACATAACTGAGGGAATAATGCAAGAAAATCTTCCTGATCTTGCAAGAGAGGTAGGCATCTAGATATAAGAAATCGAGGCAACACCTACAAGATACTATAGAAAACAAACATCACCAAGGCACATAGTCACCAGACTGTCCAAGGTCAACGCTAAAGAAAAAAATCTTAAAGGCAGCTAGAGAAAAAGGTGTCAGATCATGCACAAATGGAGCCCCATGAGACTAAGAGCAGGCCTCTCGGCAGAAACTTTACAAGGCAGGAGAGAATAAGGGCCTATTTTCAGCTTTCTTGAAAAGAAGAAAGTCTGGGTCAGGCATAGTGGCTCACATCTATAATCCCAACACTTTGAGAGGCTGATGCAGAAGGACTGCTTGAGTCCAGGAGTTTGAGACCAGCATGAAAAACATAGCAAGACGTCATCTCTCCAAAAACTAAAAATTAAAAATTAGTCAGGTGTGGTGGCACACACCTGTAGTCCCAGCTACTCGGGAGGCTAAGGTGGGAGGACTGCCTAAGCACAGAAGTTTGAGGTGCAGTGAGCTACAATTGCAACACTGCTCTCTAGCTTGGGCAACAGAGTGAGATCCTGCCTCAAAAAAAAAAAAAAAAAAAGAAAAGAAAAAGAAAAAGAAAAAGAAAGAAAAGAAATTTCAACAAAGAATTTCATATTCCACCAAACTAAGCTTCATATGCAAAGAAAAAATAAAATCTTTTTCCAACCAAGCAAGCACTAAGAAAATTCATTACCACCAAATGAGCTTTACAAGAGATCCTTAATGGAATTCTAAACATGGAAATGAAAGAACAATACCTGCTACCACAAAAACATAATAAAGTACATAGCCCATAGACCCTATACAGCTTCCACACAATAAAAACTACAAAGCAAAAAGCTAAGGGAAGTGAAGGACCTCTTCAAGGTGAACTACAAACCACTGCTCAATGAAATCAGAAATGACACAAACAAATGGAAGAACATTCCATGCTCATGGATAGGAAGAATCAATGTCATGAAAATTCATACTGCCCAAAGTAATTTATAGGTTGAATGCTATTCCCATTAAACTAACACTGACATTGTTTACAGAATTAGAAAAAAAACTATTTTAAAATTCATATGGACAAAAAAGAGCCCAAATAGCCAAGACAATCCTAAGCAAAAAGAACAAAGTTGCAGGCAGCATGCTACCCAACTTCAAACCATACCACAAGGTTACAGCAGCCAAAACAGCTTGGTACTGGTACAAGAACAGACACATAGACCAATGGAACAGAATAGAAACCCAGAAATAAGACTGCACACCTACAACCATCTTATCTTCAACAAACCTGATAAAAACAAGCAATGGGATAAGGGCTCCCTATTTAATAAATGGTACTGGGAGAACTGGCTAGCCATATGCAGAAAACTGAAACTAGACCCCTTCCTTACACCATATACAAAAATCAACTTGAGATAAAATAAAGAATGAAATGTAAAACCCAAAACTATAAAAACCTTAGAAGAAAATCTAGGCAATACCTTTCAGGATATAGGCACCGGCAAAGACTTCATGACAAAAGTGCCAAAAGCAATTGCAACAAAAGCAAAAACTAACAAATAGGATCTAATTAAACTAAAGAGCTTCTGTGCAGCAAAAGGAACTATCCATCAGAATGAACAAACAACCTAAAGAACAGGAGAAAATTTTGCAATCTATCCATCTCACAAAGGTCTAATACCTAGCATCTACAAGGAACTTAAACAAATTTACAAGAAAAAAACCATTAAAAAGGCAAAGAATATGAACAGACACTTCTCAAAAGAAGATACACATGCAGCCAACATACATATGAAAAAAAGCTCAGCATCACTGATCATCAGAGAAATGTAAATCAAAACCACAATGAGATACCATCTTACACCAGTAAGAACAGCTATAATTAAAAAGTCAAAAAATAACAGATGCTGGCATGGTTCTAGAGAAAAAGGAGCACTTTTACACTGTTGGTAAAAATGTAAGTTAAGTTCAACTATTGTGGAAGACAATATGGTGATTCTTCAAAAACCTAGAGGCAGAAATACCATTTGACCCAGCAATGCTCCCATTACTGGGTATATGCCCAAAGAAGTATAAATCATTCTATTATAAAGACATATGCATGCACATGTTCATTGTAGCACTATTCACAATAGCAAAGACGTGGAATCAATCTAAATGCCCATCAGTGATGGACTGGATAAAGAAAATGTGGTACATATACACCACGGAATACCATGCAGCCATAAAAAGAAAAAAGATCATGTCCTTTGTAGGGACATGGATGGAGCCACAAGCTGTTATCCTCAGCAAACAAACCCAGGAACAGAAATCCAAATGCCACATGTTCTCACTTACAAGTGGGAGGTGAGTGATGAGAACATATGGACCCATGGTGGGGAAAAACACACACTGGGGCCTGTTGGAGAGTAGGGGGCAGCAGGAGGGAAAGCACCAAGACGAATAGCTAATGGATGCTGGGCTTAATACCTAGTTGATGGGATGATCTGTGCAGCAAGCCACCATGGCACACATTTACCTCTGCAACAAACCTTCGCATCCTGCAAATGTACCCCTAAACTTAAAAGTTGGGAAAAAAAAAAGACCCATTTGTCTGCTGTCCTCAAGAAAACCATCTCATCCATAACAACATCCACAGGCTCAAAGAAAAGGGTGGAAGAAAGATCTATCAGGTGGAGCCAAGATGGCCGAATAGGAACAGCTCCAGTCTAGAGCTCCCAGTGTGAGCGACGCAGAAGACAGGTGATTTCTGCATTTCCAACTGAGGTACCGGGCTCATCTCACTGGGGAGTGTCAGAAAGTGGGTGCAGGACAGTGGGTGCAGTGCACCCAGCGTGAGCCAAAGCAGGGCGAGGCATCGCCTCACCCAGGAAGCGCAAGGGGTCAGGGAATTCCCTTTCCTAGTCAAAGAAAGGGGTGACAGACGGCACCCGGAAAATTGGGTCACTCCCACCCTAATACTGCGCTTTTCCAATGGTCTTAGCAAACACCATACCAGGAGATTATATCCCGCGCCTGGCTCGGAGGGTCCTACGCCCACGGAGCCTCGCTGATTCCTAGCACAGCAGTCTGAGATCAAACTGTAAGGCGGCAGCGAGGCTGGGGGAGGGGCGCCCGCCACTGCCCAGGCTTGAGTAGGTAAACAAAGGGGCCTGGAAGCTCGAACTGGGTGGAGCCCAGCACAGCTCAAGAAGGCCTGCCTGCCTCTGCAGGTTCCACCTCTGGGGGCAGGGAATACCCAAACAAAAGGCAGCAAAATCCTCTGCAGACTTAAATGTCACTGTCTGACAGCTTTGAAGAGAGTAGTGGTTCTCCCAGCACGCAGCTGGAGATCTGAGAACGGACAGACTGCCTCCTCAAGTGGGTCCCTGACCCCTGGGTAGCCTTACTGGGAGGCACCCCCCAGTAGGGGCAGACTGACACCTCACACGGCCAGGTACTCCTCTGAGACAAAACTTCCAGAGGAACGATCAGGCAGCAACATTTGCTGATCACCAATATCTGCTGTTCTGCAGCCTCTGCTGCTGATACCCAGGCAAACAGGGTCTGGAGTGGACCTCTAGCAAACTCCAACAGACCTGCAGCTGAGGGTCCTGAATGTTAGAAGGAAAACTAACAAACAGAAAGGACATCCACACCAAAATCCCATCTGTACGTCACCATCATCAAAGACCAAAGGTAGATAAAACCACAAAGATGGTGAAAAAACAGAGCAGAAAAACTGGAAACTCTAAAAATCAGAGCGCCTCTCCTCCTCCAAAGGAACGCAGCTCCTCACCAGCAACGGAACAAAGCTGGACGGAGAATGACTTCGATGAGTTGAGAGAAGAAGGCTTCAGACGATCAAACTACTCCGAGCTAAAGGAGAAAGTTTGAACCCATGGCAAAGAAGTTAAAAACCTTGAAAAAAAATTATACGAATGGTGAACTAGAATAACCCATGCAAAGAGTCCTTAAAGGACCTGATGGAGCTGAAAACCAAGGCACGAGAACTACGTGACGAATGCACAAGACTCAAGAGCTGATTCTATTAACTGGAAGAAAGGGTATCAGTGATGGAAGATCAAGTGAATGAAATGAAGCAAGAAGAGAAGTTTAGAGAAAAAAGAATAAAAAGAAATGAGCAAAGCCTCCAAGAAATATGGGACTATGTGAAAAGACCAAATCTATGTCTGATTGGTGTACCTGAAAGTGATGGGGAGAATGGAACCAAGTTGGAAAACACTCTGCAGGATATTATCCAAGAGAACTTTCCCAAACTAGCAAGGCAGGCCAACATTCAAATTCGGGAAATACAGAGAATGCCACAAAGATACTCCTCCAGAAGAGCAACTCCAAGACTCATAATTGTCAGATTCATCAAAGTTGCAATTAAGGAAAAAATGTTAAGGGCAGCCAGAGAGAAAGGTCGGGTTACCCACAAAGGGAAGCCCATCAGACTAACAGCTGATCTCTCGGCAGAAACTCTACAAGCCAGAAGACAGTGGGGACCAATATTCAACATTCTTAAAGAAAAGAATTTTCAACCCAGAATTTCATATCCAGCCAAATTAAGCTTCATAAGTGAAGGAGAAATAAAATCCTTTACAGACAAGCAAACGGTGAGAGATTTTGTCACTACCAGGCCTGCCCTAAAAGAGCTCCTGAAGGAAGCACTAAACATGGAAAGGAACAACCAGTACCAGCCACTGCAAAAACATGCCAAATTGTAAAGACATCAAAGCTAGGAAGAAACTGCATCAACTAACGAGCAAAATAACCAGCTAACATCATAATGACAGGATCAAATTCACACATAACAATATTAACCTTTAATGTAAATGGGCTAAATGCTCCAATTAAAAGACACAGACTGGCAAATTGGACAAACAGTCAAGACCAATCAGTGTGCTGTATTCAGGGAACCCATCTCACGTGCAGAGACACACATAGGCTCAAAATAAAGGGATGGAGGAAGATCCACCAAGCAAATGGAAAACAAAAAAAAGGCAGGGGTTGCAAACCTAGTCTCTGATAAAATAGACTTTAAACCAACAAAGATCAAAAGAGACAAAGAAGGCCATTACATAATGGTAAAGGGATCAATTCAACAAGAAGAGCTAACTATCCTAAATATATATGCACCCAATACAGGAGCACCCAGATTCATAAAGCAAGTCCTTAGAGACCTACAAAGAGACTTAGACTCCCACACAATAATAATGGGAGACTTTAACACCCCACTGTCAACATTAGACAGATCAACGAAGACAGAAAGTTAACAAGGATATCCAGGAATTGAACTCAGCTCTGCACCAAGTGGACCTAATACACATCTACAGAACTCTCCACCCCAAATCAACAGAACATACATTCTTCTCAGCACCATGCCGTACTTATTCCAAAATTGACCACATAGTTGGAAGTAAAGGACTCCTCAGCAAATGTAAAAGAACAGAAATTATAACAAACTGTCTCTCAGACCACAGTGCAATCAAACTAGAACTCAGGATTAAGAAACTCACTCAAAACTGCTCAACTACATGGAAACTGAACAACCTGCTCCTGAATGCCTACTGGGTACATAACGAAATGAAGGCAGAAGTAAAGATGCTCTTTGAAACCAACGAGAACAAAGACACAACATACCAGAATCTCTGGGACACATTCAAAGCAGTGTGGAGAGGGAAATTTATAGCACTAAATGCCCACAAGAGAAAGCAGGAAAGATCCAAAATTGACACCCTAACATCACAATTAAAAGAACTAGAGAAGCAAGAGCAAACACATTCAAAAGCTAGCAGAAGGCAAGAAATAACTAAGATCAGAGCAGAACTGAAGGAAATAGAGACACAAAAAACCCTTGAAAAAATCAATGAATCCAGGAGCTGGTTTTTTGAAAAGATCAAAAAAATTGATAAACCGCTAGCAAGACTAATAAAGAAGAAAAGAGAGAAGAATCAAATAGATGCAATAAAAAATGATAAAGGGGATATCACCACCAATCCCACAGAAATACAAATTACCATCAGAGAATACTATAAACACCTCTATGCAAATAAACTAGAAAATCTAGAAGAAATGGATAAATTCCTCGACACATACACCCTCCCAAGACTAAATCAGCAAAAAGTTGAATCTCTGAATAGACCAACAACTGGCTCTGAAATTGAGGCAATAATTAATAGCTTACCAACCAAAAAAGGCCCGGATCAGATGGATTCACAGCTGAATTCTACCAGAGGTACAAGGAGGAGCTGGTATCATTCCTTCTGAAACTATTCCAATCAATAGAAAAAGAGGGAATCCTCCCTAACTCATTTTATGAGGCCAGCATCATCCTGATACCAAAGCCTGGCAGAGACACAACCAAAAAAGAGAATTTTAGACCAATATCCCTGATGAACATTGATACAAAAATCCTCAATAAAATACTGGCAAACCGAATCCAGCAGCATATCAAAAAGCTTATCCACCATGATCAAGTGGGTTTCATCCCTGGATGCAAGGCTGGTTCAACATACACAAATCAATAAACGTAATCCAGCATATACAGAACCAATGACAAAAACCACATGATTATCTCAATAGATGCAGAAAAGGCCTTTGACAAAATTCAACAAAGCTTCATGCTAAAAACTCTCAATAAATTAGGTATTGATGGGATGTATCTCAAAATAATAAGAGCTGTCTATGATAAACCCACAGCCAGTATCATACTGAATGGGCAAAAACTGGAAGCATTCCCTTTGAAAACTGACACAAGACAGGGATGCCCTCTCTCACCACTCCTATTAGTGTTGGAAGTTCTGGCCAGGGCAATCAGGCAGGAGAAGGAAATAAAGGGTATTCAATTAGGAAAAGAGGAAGTCAAATTGTCCCTGTTTGCATATGACGTGATTGTATATCTAGAAAACCCCACTGTCTCAGCCCAAAATCTCCTTAAGCCGATAGGCAACTTCAGCAAAGTCTCAGGATACAAAATCAATGTGCAAAAATCACAAGCATTCTTATACACCAATAACAGACAAACAGAGAGCCGAATCATGAGTGAACTCCCATTCACAATTGCTTCAAAAAGAGTAAAATACCTAGGAATCCAACTTACAAGGGACATGAAGGACCTCTTCAAGGAGAACTACAAACCACTGCTCAATGAAATAAAAGAGGATACAAACAAACGGAAGAACATTCCATGCTCATAGGTAGGAATAATCAATATTGTGAAAATGGCCAAATTGCCCAAGGTAATTTATAGATTCAATGCCATCTCCATCAAGCTACCAATGACTTTCTTCACAGAATTGGAAAAAACTACTTTAAAGTTCATATGGAACCAAAAAAGAGCCCGCATTGCCAAGTCAATCCTATGCCAAAAGAACAAAGCTGGAGGCATCACGCTACCTGACTTCAAACTATACTACAAGGCTACAGTAACCAAAACAGCATGGTACTGGTACCACAACAGAGATATAGACCAATGGAACAGAACAGAGCCCTGAGAAATAATGCCACATATCTACAACCACCCGATCTTTGACAAATCTGACAAAAACAAGAAATGGGTAAACGATTCCCTATTTAATAAGTGGTGCTGGAAAAACTGGCTAGCCATATGTAGAAAGCTGAAACTGGATCCCTTCCTTACACCTTATACAAAAATTAATTCAAGATGGATTAAAGATGTAAATGTTAGACCTGAAACCATAAAAACCCTAGAAGAAAACCTAGGCAATACCATTCAGGACATAGGCATGGGCAAGGACTTCATGTCTAAAACACCAAAAGCAATGGTAACAAAAGCCAAAATTGACAAATGGGATCTAACTAAACTAAAAAGCTTCTGCACAGCAAAAGAAACTACCATCAGAGTGAACAGGCAACCTACAGAATGGGAGAACATTTTTGCAATCTACTCATCTGACAAAGGGCTAATATCCAGATTCTACAATGAACTCAAACAAATTTACAAGGAAAAAAAAAACAACCCCATCAAAAAGTGGGCGAAGGATATGAACAGACACTTCTCAAAAGAAGACATTTATGCAGCCAAAAGACACATGAAAAAATGCTCATCATCACTGGCAATCAGAGAAATGCAAATCAAAACCACAATGAGATACCATCTCACACCAGTTAGAATGGCGATCATTAAAAAGTCAGGAAACAACAGGTGCTGGAGAGGATGTGGAGAAATAGGAACACTTTTACACTGTTGGTGGGACTGTAAACTGGTTCAACCATTCTAGAAGTCAGTGTGGCAATTCCTCAGGGATCTAGAACTAGAAATACCATTTGACCCAGCCATCCCATTACTGGGTATATACCCAAAGGATTATAAATCATGCTGCTATAAAGACACATGCACACGTATGTTTATAGCGGCACTATTCACAATAGCAAAGACTTGGAACCAACCCAACGTCCACCAATGATAGACTGGATTAAGAAAATGTGGCACATATACACCATGGAATACTATGCAGCCATAAAAAATGATGAGTTCATGTCCTTTGTAGGGACATGGTTGAAGCTGGAAACCATCATTCTCAGCAAACTATCTCAAGGACAAAACCCCAAACATCACATATTCTCACTCATAGGTGGGAACTGAACAATAAGAACATGTGGACACAGGAAGGGGAACATCACACACCGGGGTCTGTTGTGGGGTGAGGGGAGAGGGGAGGGATAGCATTAGGATATATACCTAATGTTAAATGACGAGTTAATGGGTGCAGCACACCAACATGGCACATGTATACATGTGTAACTAACCTGCACGTTGTGCACATGTACCCTAAAACTTAAAGTATAATAAAAAATAAAATAAAATGAAATGAAAGATCTATCACACAAACAGAAAAAAAAAAGAGCTGGAGTCGCTATTCTTATATCAGATGAAACATACTTTAAACCAACAACAATAAAAAAGGACAGAGAAATGCATTACATAATGATAAAGTGTCCAATTAAACAAGACTTAACTATCCTAAATACATACACACCCAACACTGAGGCACTCAGATTCATAAAACAAATTCTTCTAGACCTATGAAAAGACTTAGACACACAATAATAGTGAGGGACTTCGATACCCCACTGACAGCATGAGACACATCATCGTGGCAGAAAACCAACAAAGAATTTCTGGACTTAAGTTTGATACTTGACCAACTGAACCTAATAACCATCTACAGAATATTGTACCCATCAACCACAGAATATACATTCTTCTTGTTTGCACACAGAACACACTCTAAGATAGGCCACATGCTCAGCCATAAGTCAAGTCTCAATAAATTCAAAAAAACTGAAATCATTCCAACCATACGTTCAGATCACAGTGAAATAAAAACAGAAATCAATACCAAGAAGATCTCTCAAAACCACACAATTTCATGGAAATTAAGCAACTTGCTACTGAGTGACTTTGGGGTAAACAATAAAACTAAGGCAGAAATTTAAAAAATCTTTAAAATAAATGAAAACAGAGACACAACATACAAAAATCTTTGGGATGCAGCAAAAGCAGTATTAAGAGGAAAGTTCATAGTGCTATACACCTACCTAAATAGAAAAAATCTTCATGATCTAACATCACACCTAGAAGAACGAGAAAAACAAGAACAAACTAACCTGAAAGGCAGCAGAAAAAAAGAAATAACTAAAAATCAGAGTAGAACTGAAGGAAACTGAGACCCCAAATCCATACGAAGAATCAATGAAACCAAAAGTTGGTTCTTTGAAACGATAAACAACATTGATAGGCCACTAGATTAAAAAAGAAAAACAGTGAGATGATCCAGACATTACAACCAATTATATAGAAATATGAAAGATCCTCAGAGACTACTACGAATATCTCTATGCAAATAAAACTAGAAAATCTAGAGGAAATGGATAAATCCCTGGAAACATACAACCTCCCAAGATCGTCTCAAGAAGAAACTGAAACCTTGAACAGACCAACATCAAGTTCCAAAATTGAATCAATAATAAAAACCCTACCAACCAAAAAAAGCCCTGCACCAGATGGATTCACAGCCAAATTCTAACAGACGCATAAAGAAGAACTGGTGCCAATCGTACTGAATGTATTCCAGAAAAACAAGGAGGAGGGACTCCTCCGTAACTTATTCTATGAAGCCAGCATCACCCTAATACCAAAACTTGGCAAAAATACAACAAAAAAAGAAAACTTCAGGCCAATATCCCTGAAGAACACAGACACAAAAATTCTCAACAAAATATTAGCAAATCAAATTCAGCAACATACCAAAAAGTTAATCTGCCATGATCAAGTAGCCTTCATTCCTGGGATGCAAGGTTGGCCCAACATACATAAATCAATAAATGTGATTCACCGCATAAACTGAGTTAAGAACAAAAACTGCATGATCATCTCAATCAACATGAAAAAAGCTTTTGATAAAATCCAACATCCCTTTGTGATAAAAACCCTCAACAAACTAGGCAGCAAAAGGAACATACCTCAAAATAATAAGACCCATCTATGACAAACCCATAGCCAATATTATACTGACTGGACAAAAGCTGGAACAATTCCCCTTGAGAACTGGAACAAGACAAGGATGTCTACTCTCACCACTCTTATTCAACATAATACTGGAAGTCCTACCTAGAGCAATCAGGCAAGAGAAAGAAATGAAAGGTATCCCTATAGGACAAAAGGAAGTCAGACTGTCACTTTTTAATGATGATATGATGCTATGCCGAGAAAACCCTAAAGACTCCACGAAAACACTCCCGGAACTGATAAACGACTTCAGTAAAGTTTCAAGATACAAAATCAAAGTACAAAAATCGGCAGCATTTCTATACACTTATAATGTTTAAGCTGAGAGCCAAGCCAAGAACAATCTCTTTCATAATAGCCACATAAAAAAAGAAATATCTAGGAATACATCTAAGCAAGGAGGTGAATGATCTCCTCAAGAGGAACTACCAAACACTGCTGAAAGAAATCATAGATGATACAAATGGAAAAACATTCCATGCTCATGGATTGGAGAGTAAGTATCATTAAAATGGCCATACTGCCCTGGGCGCAGTGGCTCACACCTGTAATCCCAGCACTTTGGGAGGCCAAGGCAGGTGGATCACCTGATGTCAGGAGTTTGAGACGAGCCTGGCCAACATGGTGAAACCCCATCTCTACTAATAATACAAAAACTAGTTGGGCGTGGTGGCACATGACTGTAATCCCAGTACAGGAGGCTGAGGGCAGGAGAATGGCTTGAACCTGGGAGGCGGAGGTTGCAGTGAGCCGAGACTGTGCCACTGTACTCCAGCCTGGGCAAGAGTGAGACTCTGCCTCAAAAAAAAAAAAAAAAAAAAAAAAAAAAAAAAAAAAAAAGCCATACTGCCCAAAGCAATCTGTAAATTCAATGCTATTCCTACCAAACTACCAATGTCATTCTTCACAGAATTAGAAAAAAACTATTCTAAAATTCATATGGAACCAAAAAAGAGCCCAAATAGTGAAAGCCATCCTAAGCAAAAAGAATAAAGCTGGATGCATCACATTACCTGACTTTAAACTAAATGGTATAAGGCTATAGTAACCAGAACAGCATGGTACTGATACAAAAACAGACACATAGACCAAGAGGACAGAACAGACAACCCAGAAATAAAGGTACGTACCTATAGCCAACTGATCTCTGACAAAGTTAACAAAAACATACACTGGGGAAAGGACACCCTATTCATAAATGGAGCTGGAAAAACTGGATTACTATATGTGGAATGAAACTGGACCCCTATCTCTCACTATACACAAAAATTAACTCAAGATGGATTAAAGACTTAAATGTAAATTCTGAAGCTATAAAAATTCTAAAAGAAAATATAGGAAAACCTCCTCTGGACATTGGGCTAGACAAAGAATTCATGACTGAGACCCCCAAAGCAAATGCAACAAAAACAAAAATAGACAAATGGGACTACATCAACTAAAAAGCTTCTGCACAGTAAAAGAAGTAATCAACACAATGAGCAGCCAGCCTGCAGAATGGGAGAAAATATTTGCATATTTGCAAACTATGTATCTGACAAAGATCTAACATCCAGAATCTATAAGAAATAAACAATTCAACAAACAGAAAACAACCCCATTAAAAAGTGAGCAAAGACATAAACAGACACTTCTCAAAAGAAGACATACAAGCAGCCAACAAACATGAAAAAATGGTCAATATCACTAATCATCAGAGAAATGAAAATCAGAACCACAATGAGGGCCAGGCACGGTGGCTCACGCCTGTAATCCCAGTACTTTGGGAGGCCAAGACGGGTGGATCAGGAGATCAAGACCATCCTGGCTAACACGGTGAAACCCCGTCTACACTAAAAATACAAAAAATTAGCCCAGTGTGGTGGCACGCGCCTGTAGTCCCAGCTACTTGGGAGGCTGAGGAAGGAGAATCACTTGAACCCAGGAGGCAGAGGTTGCAGTGAGCCGAGATCACGCCACTGCACTCCAGCCTGGGCAACAGAGCAAGACTCCATCTCAAAAAAAAAAAAAAAAAAAGAAAGAAAAAACAACCCACAATGAGATACCATTTCACACTAGTCAGAACGGCTATTATTAAAAAGTAAAAACAAATTAGCAGATGCTGGTGAGGCTGCAGAAAAAGGGGAACACTTATACACTGTGGATGGTAATGTAAATTAGTTTAGCCACCATGGAAAGCAACTCTGAGATTTCTCAGATAACTTGAAACAGAGCTACCATTCGATGCAGCAATCCCATTACCAGGTATCTCCAAAAGAAAATAAATCATTCTCCCAAAAAAGGCATATGCACACATATGTTCACCACAGCATTATTCACAATAGCAAAGACATGGAATCAACCTAGGTGCCCATCAACAGTGGATTGAATAAAGAAAATGTGTCCATAAACGCCATGGAATACTACACAGCCATAAAAAATAATGAAATCACGTCCTCTACAGCAACATGGATGCAGCTAGAGGCCCTTATCCTAAGTGAACTAACACAGAAACAGAAAACCAAATACCACATATTCTCACTTATAAGTGGGAGCTAAACACTGGGTACATAGGGACATAAAGATGAGAACAAAAGACACTGGGGACTATAAGAGTGGGGAGGAAGAAAGGGAGGCAATGGTTGAAAAGCTACCTATTGGATACTATGTTCACTACCTGGGTGGTGGCATCAATGGTACCCTAAACCTCACCATCACACAAAATACCCATTTAACAAACCTGCACATGTACCCCTTGAATCTACAATAAATGTTTAAATTATTAAAAAAAAAAAAAGAAATGAGCTACTAAACCATGAAAAGACATGAAGGAATCTTAAATCCACATTACTAAGTAAAAGAACCCAATCTGAAAAGCCTACATACTGTATGTTTCCAACTATATGACATTCTGGAAAAGAAAAACTATGGAGACAGTACAAAATTCAGTGGCTGCCAAGGGTTGGGTGGAGGTGGGAAAGGGATGAATATGCGGAGCATACTCCATATGATATGATGAAACTACTCCATATGATGAAACTACTCCATATGAAACTACTCCATATGATACTATAATATCATATAGTATCTACCATATGAAACTACTCCATATGATACTACTCCATATGGAGTACTATCCATATGGAGTATGGAACTACTCCATATGATACTATAATGGTGGATACACGTCATTACACATTTGTTAAAACCCTTATACTGTAGAACACCAAGAGTGACCCCTAATGTAAAACTATGAACTCTGGTCAATAGTGATATGTCAGTATAGGACTATGCATAGCACTCAATGTCTATTTTAGAAAACAAGGTCTCAGTCAATGACCTAAGATGAGGCTACATTCTGTCACAGTCCCAGTGAACTTATGCATAGATATAAGCACCTGATTGTGTTACTGTTTCTTGCCATAGTACAGTCTCACCTGATTGTTTACATACTGAAATAGCTAACACTGCATTATAAATTCCTTTCCTTTTATTCCTCAGTTATATTATAGTTAGTTCAATATACTGATTTTTTTAAAAAATTTAGTGTAGGAGCAGGTAATGTTTTCTATGAATTTAATTTCAGAATTCTAGAGTGGGCATTACATGATATGTGCTACTTGATAAGAGTTGAAAAACATCTTAAACCAGAAAAAGAAGAGCTAATAAAACCCTAAGTTAGCAGAAGAGAGGAAATAATAAAGATCAGAACAGAAATCAATTAACTAGAAAGCAGATACACAATAGGCAAAATCAATGAAACAAAAACCTAACTCTTTAACACCAAGAAAACCAATAAACCTTTACCTATAATGATCAGTGAAAAAATAGAGATGACAGAAATTATCAATATCAGAAATGAAATAGATTATCTTCATTTGAGTCTACAGATATTAATAGGATAAAAAAGATTATTAACAACTTCAGACAAATAAATCCAACAACTTAGATGAAATGAACAAATTCCCTGAAAGTCAGAAATAATAAAAGCTCACTCAGGAATAGATAACCTGAAGAGGCCTATATATTTTTTTAAAAATTAAGTCTGCAGTTAAAAACCTTCCCATAAAGAAGGTTTATGCCACCAAGGCCTAGGTGGCTTCTCTAGTGAACTGTACCAAACATTTAAGAAAGAAATAATACCAACTATATATAAACTCTCTCACAAAATTCAAGAGGAGGGAATACTTCCCAATTCATTCTCTCAGGCCAGTATCATCCTGATACTAAAACTAGAAAGAGGCATGAAAAGAAAACAAAATAAACCAGCATCCCTACTGACACACGAAAAGTCTTAACAAATTTTTAGCAAATCCACTCCAACAATATAGTAAAAGGATAATCCATCATGAACAAGTGGAATTTATCTCATAAATGTAAGGTTGGTTTAACATGTGATTCATCATGTAAACAAACTAAAAAAAGTTTTAAAATCATATGATATCAGTAGATACAGAAAAAGCATTTTCTTGGGAAAATTCCAACAATCACTCCTTCTAAATTTTCAGAAAACTAGGAATAAAAAGGGAGTTCCTCACCCAGGCAAAAACATCTAACATCATACTTACTGGCAAAAGACTGAATGCTCTTCCCTTGAGATCACCCTAAATGCTTTCCCTTGAGACCACCAGCAAAGATACTCATTCTCACTACTTCTATTCAACATTGTACTAGAAGTTCTAGTCAGTGAAATAAGGCAGGAAAAAGAAAGAAAAGGCATCCAGATTGGAAAGGAAGAAGTAAAACTGTCATTATTCATAGACACGGTCATCTACGTAAATATTTCTTTAGAATCTACAAAATAAGCTACTAGAACGAGTGCATTTAGCAAGGTTGCAGCATACAAAATAATGTATAAAACGTAACTGTATTTCTATATAGTATCAATGAACCACTAAAAATGTAAATTTAAAATTTCTATTTACAACATTAAAAAATATGAAATGCTTAGGGATATATCTGATCAAATGTTTAAGACTTATACACTGAAAATTACAAAATATATCTAAAGAAAATTAAAGAAGAACTAAATAGAAATATACACTAGGTTCATGGATCTGTAGACTCAATAATATTAAAATAAATGTCCATTTTATCCAGCTTATCTACAGGTGTTTTTTTCTAACACAGTCCCATCCAAAATTCCACCAGGCTATTTTGTAGAAATTGATAAACTGAAGCCAAAATTCACACAGATGTGCAAAGGGTCTGGAAGAGCGAATGAATCTGAAAACAAATAAAATTTATAGACTTGCACTTCAAGAATGGTTATAAAGCTATAGTAATAAAGACACTTTGGTATTGGCAACAAGGCAGACAAACAGATCAATGGAACAGGATAAAGTTCAAAAATAGAACGGGCGCGGTGGCTCATGCCTGTAACCTCAGCACTTTGCGAGGTTGAGGCAGGCAGATCATGAGATCAAGCGATCGAGACCACCCTGGCCAAGATGGTGAAACCCCGTCTCTACTAAAAATACCAAAATTAGCTGGGTGTGGTGGGCACGCACCTGTAGTCCCAGTTACTTGGGATGCTGAGGCAGAAGAATCGTTTGAACCCAGGAGGCGGAAGTTGCAGTGAGCCAAGATGGTGCCACTGTACTCCAGCCTGGCCACAGAGAAATACCCTATCTAAAAAAAAAAAAAGAAGTTCAAAAATAAACCGATAAATATATAATCTATTGATTTGATACAAAAGGATAAAGGCATTTCACAGAAAGGATAGTTTTTTTCAAAAAATGAGGCTGAAACAATTAGATATCCATATCAGGTGAACTTTGATATGTATCTCACATCATACATAAAAACTAACTCAAAATGTCTTCCTTAGGGAATGCTTACGGACTGTTGATGGGACTGTAAATTAGTTCAGTCCCTGTGGAAAGCAGTCTGGAGATTTCTCAAAGAACTAAAAATAGAACTACCATTCAACCCAGCAATCTCATTACCGGGTATATGCCCAAAGGAAAACAAACTGTTCTACCAAAAAGATACACGCACTTATATGTTTATCCCAGTGCTATTCAGAATAGCAAAGACATGGCATCAACTAGGTGCCCATCAACAATTGACTGGATAAAGAAAACGTGGTACATATATATCATGGAATACTATGCAGCCACAAAAGAGATGAAATCATGTCCTTCGCAACAATATAGATGTAGTTGGAGGCCATCATCCTAAGTGAATTAATGGAGAAATAGAAAATCAAACATCACTTCTTCTCACTGAGTACACACAGACATAAAGATGGAAACAATAGACACGGGGACTCTAAAAGAGAAGAGAAAGGGAGGGGGAAAAGGGTTGAATAACTATTGAGTATTCTGTTTACTCTTTGGGTGATGGATCCAACAGAAGCCCAGATTTCAGCATCACACAGTATATTAATATATCCATGTAACAAACATGAACATGTACCTCTTGAATCTAAAATTTTATTTTAAAATAGCCTTCGTCAAAACATGCCCTTCTTTGGCACTGACCTTCTGTACAGAAAAAAAGTGAACATAGCAGACCTGAGACTGCTATCCTTAGAAAAGCCTGCTTATAAGGTTGGCCCTTGGCTGGCATCTGGGAACTTGACCCTCAGAGTGGTCCCAGTCAACATTAATTGATAAAAGTAGTTTATTGTGCCTAGACTGTTTGTATAAATACTATGGTTTATGCTGAACTCATATATTCCTTTTGGAAATCTGCATTTTTTTTTGCAAGCTAGGAAGAGGGTGCTTACATGGCAAGCCCTCCATGAAAACCTTGGGCTCTGAGTCTCTAATGGACTTTCCTAGGCAGGAAGATGGTATACATGTTGCTGCATTTTCATTGCTGAGGAAGTGTGCTCTGTGTGACCCCTCATGATAGGGAGAGAGCACAAGGAAACTCAATTGCATTAGGATTCTTTCTGGGAAAAAGGATTATTTTGGAATATAAATTGTAGGAGAGGATACTTTATTCCAAAGTTCATCGAAAAATAAACATAAGGGAATAACCAGAAAATGTTTAAAATGAACACTAATGCAAGAAACCCTTTTCTACTAGGCAACAAAAGCCTCAATAATAAAAGCAGTGTAATAGTGGTTCCAGAAAACACATATAGATGAATAGAAAGAAAAAAATCTTAACTACAGAAACTGACTGTATTAATCCATTTTCACACTGCTATAAAGAACTGCCCAAGACTGGATAATTTATAAAGAAAGGAAGTTTAATTGACTCACAGTTCTACACGGCTGGGAAGGCCTCAGGAAACTTAAAATCATTGCAGAAGGGGAAGCAGGCACATCTTACACAGCGGCAGGTGGGAGAGAAGAGGAACTGCCGAACTCTTATAAAACCATTAGATCTCGTGAAAACTCACTCACTAACACGAGAACAGCATGGGGGAACCTGCCCCCATGATCCAATCACCTCCCACCTGGTCCCTCCCTTGACATGTGGGGATAATGAGGATTACAATTCAAGATGAGATTCAGGTGGGGACACAGAGCCAAACCATATCACTGACCCAAGCGTGTATAACAACTTAGCATATGAAAACAGTAGTATTGCAAATTGTCAGGGAAAATGAATTATCCAATAACTGGTATTGTATAGCTGGCTGATCAGTTAGAGATTAATATAAAGCTGGATCCTTCCCTCACACCTCTGACTGAAATAAATTACAAGTGGATGTAAACACTTACATGTTTAAAGAAGCCCATATTTTACAGTAATTAGAGATGCACTGATGTGAACAACCAATTCTTTGAGGAAATCATCACCAAATCTGTCATTTCATCAGATTCATCACTCTCATTTTGTAGATATATTTCTTAAAGGTTTGTTTGTGTTTACCTAACTTCTGGGGTTGAAATGTAGAAAAGATGAGTCATATTTCAGTTGATGTATGAAAACTGTCCTCTGTAGATATTTTTTCTCCTCATGAAAATGACAGGCCAGAATAAATAACCAGAAAATTAATTTTATTGATCAAAAGATCCCAGCCATACATATTTTTACATATATAATTCATTTAGGTAAAACAAATACATAAGCCAAAATTACTTAGTATATATCCCATTCCTCTGCCTAAGTCTTAGAATGAAATAGGTTGATAAAACAAGAAAATTTCCCTCTTCCCTACCCTCCTTCCAATGGAAAAGACCTTAGGAGAGAGAAATCTAAACTAAATTGGCAATGGGACATTTTGTATAATACCTGGACCCTTACCAAAGAAACTATAGTGGATGGTATGTATGACACCAATTCTGTCAGGACCATCTCAGCAATCCATCTCTATTCCTCTTCTCTCAAGAATAAAAAAAGATTTTCTTTTTTACACACACCCTGGGCATCTGAACTATAATGTCTATTCAGAGTAAAAGAATGCCTAGATCACCTCCCTTGAACCAAGGGCCAGGCAGATAAACAACATTCTAGTCTTTCTGTTCCGGTAGCAATAAATGAACTTCTGTTCCATTTCAATGTGATTTATTAAGTCCATAACTCAACTGAATAATGCAGAAGGGTTAGGAAAAACAAACAGGCTTTAAATTTCTGAAGTTGGTCCACAGACATCATTCTGTAAACACCTTAGTTTTACACTTGCAAAACTCCAACTCATACAGCCATTAGAGGAAGAAATAAGGGAAGAAGAAAATGACACTTTTAGATGGCTTTTTCAGAGTAAAGGAGAACTTAGTGAGGTACAGGATGGGCTCTCATAGTCTTCATCACCCATTTGCTCTCCATTTTTATTTGGATTACTCTAGATTCTTGTACTCCTATGACCTCCATAATATAATCTTTCCCTTTATCTCTTGAACTTCATTCCCCTTCAAAGACTGGGGGTCTGCTTTACTCTTAGCGTATATGTTAATTTATGGCAGCCTGAATTTGGAATATAAAATTAAAAATAACAAGCATGAGTCAATGCGGTAGGCACCCTCCCTCTGGGTGCACATAAACCTCTCATTAAGAAGTTCAAAGAAGCTGAGAACGAATCAAAGAAAATATAGCTCCATGATCTCCACCTTCTACTAAATTGTAAATGAAACTGTCATGTTAATCATAGTAGCTAAAGCTCTATTCTCTGCTACTACCGAGGCTCTATAAATTCACAACCTAATTGAAATTTCTTGAGCCAGGTTAAAGAAGAAAAAAAAAGCTTACAATGTACACCAACAGGGCAGTTACAAAAATCTATTGGTCCCCTCAATTCAAGAATATCCCTTAACAGTAGTGTCTAGAAGTCACTGAGCTATATATATATATAAAAAAAAGATATCTACGCTAAGAACCAGAAAAAACGAAAATGGCATAAATAAGAGAATCATATTATGACAATATTTTTTAAAATAATTAAAACTAAATTATACACTGAGAAAAAGAGCACTTTATTCATTACATACTGTTTAGTCACAAGAAAGAAAGAAAAGTAAGACAATTATAATTTTTACATAATTTTTAGAATTTCTCATTTTAGAATTTGCATGTTGATCTAACAATAAGAGAAAAATTATTTTACTGGATTTGCATAGAAATTGAAGATGGAGGTCTGCTTATATGCCAACACCCAAAGATTCATGATCAGGATTTTTCATACTAGGAGCCACTTCGTTGTTCAGAGATCAGCAAACTGTTTCCTATAGACATATGCCATTATTTAAATGAATTATAGAAACATTTTAGAAGGCTAACATTAGTAACTCAGTAGGTAGGTCTCATACATTCAAAGTCCTGAGTGTCAAACCACTGAAAGAATAAACAATAGAAAAAATCAGGTCATGCCTTCCAGAATTCATACAAAAAAAAAATACATCTGATTCATCTCTAGTAAGAGTCTACAAGTTCCAAGACTGTCCCTACCTTCTTCAGTAAGATAATAATAATATGTACATACCAGTTTACTGACTACAAAGGGTTTCATACACTTTATTTCACTTGATCCTCAGAGAAGTCTTGTGAGATTAGTACAGATAAGCCTTAATAATGTCACCATTTTACAGAGGGGGAAACTGAGACTCAAAGAATTTAATGACTTTAGTTACCCAGCCTGGATGAAGCAAATTGGGAAACTTAATCCATATCTCCTTATTTCATAATCATGTACTCTTTCTACTAAATACTAGCTCTAATAAATACTAGAAAAAAGAAAAGTTACTTTATTGTTCTTCTACTCTGGACAATTAGAACTATAAAAGCCTTGAAAGTCAAGTTTGGTCACTAAGCAAGAAATCTGTACCTATCCCAGCCCCCAAAAAGTCAGAATATAGTTCTACACCTTCACAAATTCTACATGAAAAATTGTCACCTACATTTCAGACACTTTTCTACTATGTTCCCAAAAGAAATAACTGAAACACTACCAAAAGAAGGAAGAGCCCACGATGCACTTGAGGGGGAAGAGAAAGAAAGCACAAATCTGTCTACCCAGCAAAAAGGGAGAATCCGAGGGTGTAGACAGTAAAATATAAACACCTAACTGGATTTCCATTTGTCCATAAAGTGACATCAGCCAACTCAAAGGAAAAGAACAGCACATGCAGAAACATTCCCTTAATTGCCATAAGTTTGGAAAAGCAGCACCAAGTTCAGCCTCTCCCCTAGCTTTAGTAACAGTAATCTACCTGTTGTCTCCAAATTTTCATCTCTCACACCTTGTACTCTCTTATAAGTGTATTATTCTAATACAGTTATGTATTAGGATAAGAAACTATCAGAATTGAACAGATATAGGATATCTATTGTAGCCCCATAATTTGTAAACCTACCACTACCATGCACATCCTATGTCAACAATCATACAAGCCTTTGCTCTCAGATGAGTTACAACTACTCACTTTAAGATGTTAATTGATGAGGTTTATTATTTCGGATCATATTTGAAAGGCTACCTAGACTAGTGATGAGCAGCATTCAAAAAACCACAGGTGGCCAACCTAGCTTCAAGACAATCTTTGATTCAAATGGGAGAAAAGATTGGAAAGCTGTTTTTTGCTACTATTTCTCAAATATGCTCAGATATTTATATTTTAGTGGTTTAAATAAGTGACTTCCTTCTAGTCAAGGAAAAACATGGAAGGTAATAAATTTAAACATTCTATACATCTTCCCAATGGATTCAGTAAAGTCATTTTTATTTTCAATGTTTAAAAAAAGGCATATATTTATTTTTCCTAAATTGAAAAAACAAAGTTAACCACTGATCATCTCCTATTCTCTAACCACTACAGAGACTTTTTTCTACAATTTCCAAAAACAGACTGCCATTCATACTGGGATATTACATGTTGATTTGTGAATACCCAATAAAGTAATGCCATAAAGATAGATTTAGTATATAAAAATACTAATAGGCCAGGACAATAGAGAGTCCTGTGCCATAAAACTACAAACCACCCTCCAGGTTAATATGACTTGGACATATTAACATATATTAGTATATACATTCACCTGTCTCAGGCATATCATTATTTTAATTTAGGTTCATAAAGACATAAAAAATCTAAAGTAATAAATATCAAAGGAATAGAATTTCAGGTAATGGAAACTTTTGCATAAAAAGAGGAGCTGGTTAAGAATAAAACTCACTATGTAAGCAGACGCTTTTTTTATTGAGATAAAACACATATGCCACAACATTCACCAAAGTGCATAATTCAGTGTTCTGTAATATATTCATAGAGTTGTGCAACCACTATCTAATTTCAGAATATTTTCATCACTCCCCAGAAAAACCCATACCTATTAGTAGTAACTCCCTATTCTCCCCTCCCCTAGCCCTGGCAACTACTAATCTATGTTCTGTCTCTATAGATTTGTCTATTCTACACATTTCATATGAATGAAATCCTATATACATGATATGTGGCCTTTTGTGTCTGGTTTCTTTCACTGTTTGCGAGTGAAACAATTTTTATGTCTGGTTTCTTTCTCTGTTGGCAAGGTTCACCAATGTTGTAGCTTGTATCAATAATTCATTTATTCTGGTGGATGAATAATATTCCACTGTGTCAATATGCCACATTTTATTTAATTCATTCATCAGTTGATGGATATTTAGGTTGTTTCCCTTTTGGCTATCAAGAATAACGTTGCCAGGCCGGGTGTGGTGGCTCACGCCTGTAATCTCAACAGTTTGGGAGGCCAAGGCGGGCAGATTGCCTGAGCTCAGGAGTTTGAGACCAGCCTGGCCAATGTGGTGAAACCCCATCTCTACTAAAAATACAAAAAATTAGCTGGGTGTGGTGGCACACACCTGTAGTCCCACCTACTCAGGAGGCTGAGGCATGAGAATCACTTGAACCCAGGAGGCGGAGGTTGTAGTGAGCTGAGATCACGCCACTGCACTCCAGCCTGGATGACAGAGTGAGACTCTGTCTCAAAAAAATAATAATAATAAATTTAAAAAAAGAATAATCTTGCTGTGAATATTCATCTACAAATTTTTGTATAAACATATGTTTTCAATTTTCTTGGGTATAGGCCTAGCAGTATTAATTGCTGGGTTATATGGTAACTCTATTTTTTTTTAGGAACTTTGTAATTGTTTTCTAAAGTTGCTGTACCATTTTACATTCCCAGCAATAGATGGGAGTTCCAATTCCTCCACATCCTCGCCAACACTTGTTATTGTCCATTTATAAGATCATGCTTAGTCAAGCAGTTGGAAGAGGATTATAGAGTATCCTTTTAGTTCTATTTTGTTTATTTTCCCCAGGAAGCTGCCAAAGAAATAAAAAGTATAACTAGAAAAGATTAAAAAACTTATTATTTGAAGATGATATAACTGTCTACTGAGAAAACCCAAAATATCTATGGAAATAGTTAAATAGTTTAGCAACATAGCTACATATAACACTAATTTAGAAAAGTTAATTGCATTTCCCTTAACGAATTTCATTTAGTATAGCAACAAAAAATATAAGGTATCTAAACATAAATCTAAAAAAATGCAAGATCATTATAGAGGAATTTTCAAAACCTTATTGAAAGGCATTAAACAAATGCAAAGATACACCATGTTCAAGAATAAGAAATCTCAGTATTTTAAAGATATCGTCTCCACATAGATCTAGAGATTCAATGTAATTCCTATTAAAATTCCAAAAAGGCTTTTTGTTTTTAAGGAACTTGACAAGCTGATTCTGAACTTTATATGGAAAATCAAAGGCCCAGAAATAGCTATAACATTACTGAAGAAGAAAAATAAGAAGAATTTGTCCTAATAGATAACAAGAATCACAACACTTCAATAATTAAGATAGTGACACTGTTAGGGAATAGGTACATTGATTAATGGAACAGAAATAGACCAACTTGATAAAAACTTGACAGAGGTAGCAGAGGTGGCACTGCATTTCAGTGGGAAATGTTTGGAATACTTAGTAAATTGTGCTGGAACTACTACTTAACCATTAAAAAAATGAAATTAGGTTCTTAACCATATAAAAAATCAATTTCAGATGGATTAATAACATAAATATGAAAAGCAAGACTAAATCTCTTAAAGTAACGGAATTGCTATGATCTTAGGGTTAAGGAAGGATTTCCCCAAAACAGCTCAAAAAGCACTAGAAAGACAGAGAGAAAGAAGGAAGGAGGGGGAGAAAGAGAAAAGAATGAAAAGAAAAAATATTAAGAAGTTAGACTAAATTAACATTAAAATTTTTGTTCATGAACATACCATAGACATTTCTGAGTATCTGAAAAAAATGGAATCTGCCTAACTCCATGTCTCCCAGTTTTACCTCCCCAAAACTGGATACAACAAGAAGGAAAAAGTAAATCTACAAAACAAGAAGGAAAAAATCTACAGGCTGGGCAGGGTGGTTCACGCCTGTAATCCCAGCACTTTGGGAGGCTGAAGTGGGTAGATCACCTGAAGTAGGGAGTTCAAGACAAGCCCAGCCAACATGGTGAAACCCAGTCTCTACTAAAAATACAAAAATTAGCCGGGCATGGTGGTGCATGCCTGTAATCCCAGCTACTTGGGAGGCTGAGGCAGGAGAATCCCCTGAACCCAGGAGGTGGAGATTGCAGCGAGCCGAGATCACGCCATTGCACTCCAGCCTGGGTGACAAGAGCGAGACTGTCTCAAAAAAAAAGAAAAAAAGTAAAGCCACATAAAAACTATATCCTCAGAATAATCTGAATACAGAGAATGCTAATATCTCAAAATAAACATCAGTAAAAACAGAAAACTTACCAAATCATAAGGTGCAATCTCTCGTGCTCCCACCCCACCCAAACAAAAGGGAAAGGCTTTGGTGTAAACAAAGGAAGAGAAAAGCTACGAGAGAGAGAGAAGAGAGAAGACAGCAATGGGGGCTAAAGTTAGAAAGGAAAGTCCATGTTAAATCTGAAAATACTAACAACGGCAATAACAAAACTGGGTAGATGACAGCACAGCCTACAGGGAAGGAACTCTGAAAGTACATGTGAGTTACTTTCAGCATAACTCAGTCAGCATAAGTTAGTTTCAAGCATAACTTAACAGGGTAGTTAGGCAGTCTTTGTACATAGCTTCTGCAGAAGAAAAAAAGGCAGAAGGGAAAAGGCCCTTCAGCAATCGGGTGGTGAAGGGGAAATGAAAAAAAAAGGGTGTAGGGTCCTAAGAGACAAAAAAGACAATCACAAAATCAGAGGATTCACAACCCCTTCCCCTCCAAAACAAAACAAAACAAAACAACCCTATTACATCTTTCCATATGAATTTCCCCTTCTACCTAGCCTTAAATTTTCTCACTGAAGTCACACCTTTAAGTTATATACCTGCCTCTAGAAGAAATTTATCCAGATGGTCACCATTAGCATATATAGAGCATGTAAGACTATGGCAAGGAAAGCACTTCATATTAGGGTAGATTAATTGATAAATGGCAGACTATAGGTTGCTGTACTTCTTGGGCTCACTGACTCACTAACACTTCCTAGCCTGTTTTGAAGTTACTATAGATGTAGCCCTGTGACTGAATTATTGACATGGTAATCTTAAGGAATGTACTTTCCTTCCAGGCCTATCCCATAAAAATCTCCTACACACAATCTTCCTTTCCCCTTTTTTTCCCCCACACTCCCTGCTTAATGAAGATGAACATAGTAACCTCCAAAGCCATGTGCTGAAGATGCCAGAGCCACAAGCTAGGAGCCTGGATCCCTAAATCACTGCTGAAGGAGTGTTCTATGGCAACTAGAAATACCTGATTTAAACTTCACAAAAGAGAGAAAAAAACCTCTATCCTGTTTGAGTCATTATTTGGGGTTTGTTCAGTGCAGCAGCTAACAGTACCTTGAGTAATACAATATATTGACTAATTATTTCCTAGGGAAGCAGAAAAATCTTTTCTAGGGATATATGATATAGGAGACGTATACTTCAATATAGCGGGAAGGGTGGTAGCAGAAGAAAAATAAGAATGACAGAGAAATCAAAGTGGATTCTGAACCATGGTTAATGAGGAGTTAAGATGGGTGCTTACAATCTGAAAGAAGGGATATTTTAAGATGAAAACTATATAAAAAAGGAAATATAATTATGATATAATATGGCTTTACTGCAAACAATATTGATTATAAAAATGTAAGTTCTGAAAACTGACTTAACCAAAATTGAAACACAACTTAGGGAAATGAGATTTGAAGAAATGCATAGGAGGGTAACTTGGTTTCTATTTTCACAGGTCCACAGATAGAAAGGAATTTTGAACCACAATGGATTACACCCAGAGTCTCACCCATACATAATGTAAGTGATTTAGATAATGAGACTTTTGAACTGATGATATTCAGATGACATTTTGGACTCCGAGTTGATACTATAATGTCTTTGTAGATCAGGGTAAGATACTTTTATTTGAGGTATAATGAGAATCCATAGAAAAATTTCAACAAGCAAAGTGGTTGGCCTGATTTACATTTTTGAAAATCACTAATACTTAGTGAAAGGAGATAAAAATGCCAAGTAGGGAAACCAGTTAGAAAACTATGACAGTGATCTAGGAAAAAACACAGAGAACTAGACTACAATGACAGCAGCAGGATGAAAAAAAAGAGGATAAATTAAAAAATATACTTTGCAGGTAGAACTGATTGAACTTACTAATAAATTAAATGTGGACAATAATAATGGGGAAATACAGGATGATTCTTAAGTTAGGAGTTGCGTAACTGGGTAGACAGTGCTATTTATTAGCTGAGATGGAGAAAACTGAGGAAGGTATAGGCTCAGGTAAGAAAATCAAGACTTGCATTTTAAACGTGTCAAGTTGTTATTGTAACAGACATCCAGATAGAAACATCAAGTAACTCATTTGATAAAAGATGAGGGAGCTCAGACAGCCAAGAACTGGATTTATAAATTTGTGTGGCATTTAAAACAACAGAACTAGATAAAATCAAACAGAGTAAAAGATGGAAAAACGAAGTAAGCCCAGGACCAAACCCCTGGTACATGATATAATCAGAGGTCTGACAGGGGAGAGAGGCTAGCAAAAGAGACAGAAACAGTCAAAGAGGTAAAAAGAAGTTGTGATGTCTAGCCGAGTGCGGTGGCTCATGGTGGTAATCCCAGAATTTGGGGAGGCCGAGGTGGACATATCACTTGAGGCCACGAATTCGAGACCAGCCTGGCCAACATGGTGAAACCCTATCTCTACTAAAAATAGAAAAATTAGCCGGGCATGGTGGCATGCGCCTGTAATCCCAGCTACTTGGGAGGCTGAGGCATGAGAATAGCTTGAACCCAGGAGGCAGAGGTTGCAGTGGGCCAAGATCGTACCACTGCATTCCAGCCTGGGAGACAGTGAGAATCTGTCTCTGGAAAAAAAAAAAAAAGAGAGAAAGAATAAAGGAGGTTGTGATGTCAGAGATGTCATTTCATTAGAATAATCATTGATACTAATTATAATTACTCTACATAACTTTCATATGATCTACTCTATGGAAGTCTAGGATAAAATGCAAAAAGCTTTAGCTCAGAGCATTAATTCCAAAAATATTCAAATACTTATGAAATATTCACTGTACTGAATGCTGAGAGGATAAACAGAGATTCAGATACTTTTCCACTTCATGCCTATGGTGTGAATAAATTTTTAAATGCAGAATTAAAATTCTGTAGATAAACGGAAGACAGCAAAAAAGCTAGACTAATATAGAGAAATCTGGGCAAAGCATACTTTGAGAACTACCCGGATAGGAATAGAGACAGCAATAAAGAACAACAACAATAAAAAAGCCATGAAAAAAAAAGATATATTCACACCATCCTCTATCCTTATCTAATTTTCTCCATTGTAGCTTTCTGCTCCCTTTGTAGCCACAAAAGACCCTCTAAACATTTTCCTTTTCTTGCTTCTAGCTGTCTCTACTCTTGTTTTGATTCTCTTTTCACCTGACCACACCTTTAATAGCTTTTGACTCCAACTAAGCTTTACTGTGTCTTTGGCTATCCCAGCAAATTAAAAGTTTTAAAAAGTTTTAGTGGGACTGGATAATAACTATAAAATTATTTCAAACATTTTTAGTAATTCTGGATTTATGTATACAGCAGAAAACTACAAATGTTTATGTAGAGAAATAAAACAATGCATAAATTTGTCTATCCCCTACCTCCATTTTAGGTAAGAAGCACAAATCAACAATAGTTATAGCATGAGAATCACAATCCTAAATTTGAGATTTCATGAAACTGACTTCAATTTCCTCCTTTGTGGTACTAGAGGAAAGGTATATGGAAAAACTATACTTTAATAAAGGAAGAAGATTTTAAATGAACAGCAATTGTATGCAATGACTCACAGATAAACTAGTATGACCATGTCAACAATAGTCACATAAATTCACCTAAAAAGGATTAAAAATTTTTTCAAGTCTAAAGAAGCTGAGGCTTTTCAGAGCTGTTAAAGACTTACTGAAAACATGCTGATATTTTCCTGCCATGCCTCTCATACCCAGGTATCACAAATAATGACACTGCTCCAAACTTCCTTAAAGTGAAATATTAGGGATGGGAGGAGTGCTGTTAGTTGGCTAGACTCAGGAGGGGCAAGTGAGTCTGAAGAGAGATGCAAGAAAAGAAAGTGCCCCAAGTTTAAAAAGAGACAAGAGTAGTAAATTTATGAGGATTTCTTCCCCTGACCTCCCCAGGAATATCTTTCCTTCATATGATTTCATAGATTTGTGATTACTTATAAGGAGTTGTGGGGACTCCCAAGGTTCTCCTGATTCTTCCAAATCTAGAGAATACCTGATTCCTTGCCTCCCACCTAGTAACTGAATTACCTTTCCTGGGGCCACTTTGTTGAACCACCCAGTTGTCAGGTGGCTCCTTCTAAGGAAGCATAGACAGTTGTTGGTGTCAAAGGATGTTGTGGTCTTTGGATATGTTCCCGATTTGAATTTCAACCAACTCCTCACATCTCTCTGATGGGGTACAGTAATAGAACAGAAGTCAATGGGAGATCAGCATGCACTCAGATTCCAGATTCTGAAAGGGAACAAAAATCAAACCCTCCATTCTTTGCCTCTTCACCATGTCTAACAACCAATATGCTAGAAACCAGGCTTTATTAGCCCATCAAAACTAAATATAAAGCAACAACTCTCAATAATCACATAATAAGTAATATGCACTTTACTAATGCTTAAGTCTGTAAGACAAATGTTAATATTTACTAAAATTTACACTTCATAAATACAAATTATCCGCCATCCTACTAAAATCTATTATACACTTTGGAAGTATTCATTTAGTATGTAAATAGCCATGCAGAGCAATGACTTACCTTTTCTAATACAGATAAGTTCATGTACTCCACAGGTTCTCTCTCCACCTATTAAAAAAAGTTTATGGGAAGTTAAAAACATAGAAAGTAGCATGAATCTGACTGTTACAAAGAATCATTTTAAATTAGCACCTAAAAGTGACCTCAAAAAAAGTTTCCCTAACTCTTCTCTTTATACTTAACTAAATGAATATTATAGCCTAATATCAGAATTTTCTGGAACAACCCAGAAATTAGGTCTTAGGAAGTCTCGGAATGAAGACACTTCATTCAAGTATGTGATTTTGAATGGCAAGCTTCTCAACAGCAGAAATCACATCAATATTTCCCAAGCATCTCTTCACATCGTCTAGAAGGAAAGACTGTAAGAGAGGACCCACTTTTGTATCTGAGCCTTAACATACACAGGTTAAGTTATTGAAAGGTCAATCCTGTAAAGTTACTATTTATATTTTATCATATATGCTCACATTATATATTCTCCAACAACCCACTATTATAAATTTGTAAAACAAATTTAATAGTATGATAAAAACAAACTTAACTTTAAAAAATATTTTGATTATTCTTTTTTGGAAAGAGTCTTTCGTAATGTTTCTTTTTTAAAAAATCTCTACTTATTGGGCCAAAAACCAAAAATACAGAAAAGTGCACTAATATATAAAACTTTCATGTAATTGTCACAAAGTAAGCACCCGAGTTGCTAAAAACCAAGGCAAGAACCAGAACTTTGCTGGCATTCCAGGAGCCCTTTACTCATCTTCCTAGGCACTACTTTGTGCCCCAGAAGTACCTAATCCCCTGAGTGCTATCATTACAGCTTGGTTTTGTCTGCTTAAAAAATTTATACAAGTGGAATTGTTAAGTGGGCATTTTTGAGTCCTACTTCTTTCAATATTAGGTTGGTAAGATCAAACTATTTTATTACTTGTAGTTGTGGCTCATTCCTTTTCATTTCCATATAGAATTCCATTGTGTATAAATATACATATATACACATATATTCATGCATACATATGCATAAATTTCAATTCTATTGTTCATAAACATTTGGATTGATTTGGGTTTGCTGTGACTAATTTTGCTATGAACCTTTTTATATAACATATGTCTCTGTTTCCCACATGTGTGCTGTGCGTGCCTTTCTTCTAAATGTATTCCGAGGAGAACAGCTGGGTTTATGGGGCAAGTGCATGTTTAACTTTAAAAGATAATGGCACATGGTGGAAATGGATAAAGAAAATGTGGTAAATATATGTGGTGGAATACTATGCAGTCTAAAAAAAGAAGGAAATTCTGTCATGTGCAACAACATGGATGAACCCGGAGGACATTATGCTAAGTGAAAGAAAGCAGACACAGAAGGACAGATACTGCATGATCTCACTTGTATGTGGAATCTACAAAAGTCAGATTCACAGATGTAGAGTAGAATGGTGGTTACCAGAGGTGGGAGAGAAGAAGGGAATGGAGAGGGGCAGGATAGGAAAAGGGGAGATACTGCAAAGGGTACAAAGTTTCAGATAGATGAGGAGTTTTAGAGATCTGCTGCACAGCATGGTGACTACAGTTATTAATAATGTGTTGTATATTTCAAAATTGCTAATCCAAGAATAGACCTTAAATGTTCTCACCACAAAAAAGGTGAAGTGACTGATATGTTAATTGGCTTGATTTAATCATTTCACAATGTATCCATATATCAAAACATCACATTGTACCCCATAAATACATACTTTGAATATTCTAATTTATTATAAGAGTAATTTTCTCTATTAGTTACTACCATGTAGACATATTTCTTTCACTCAGAATCATGTCATTACTTTAATGTAAGCTGAATAAAATTTTGTAGTGTACCATATATGTATGACCTTATAATTATGTTGTGAATTACTTTTAAACTTTCCATAATGAAAATATTAAATAATCATTTCAGTTTAGCATAGAAGCTTATTACAAACAGCTTGGTTATAAGAAACAGAAATATCCTACAGAAATAACATGAGAAGTAAAAACCATGATATCCACTAAAAAAAGTAGGTCATCTGAGAAGCAAGCTAAAAAAACTAGAAAATAGTATTTCTATCACCAAAGTAGGTTAGATCTTCATTCTGACTTGGTTGTAACAATGGCATTGCTTCTTTCTTATTAAAAATACAGAATAACCACTGATTATCAGGAAGATAGGCTTTGCAAGAAGAAACACCTAACTTAAAACTATGGTTATAAATGAATTATTCAGCAAAACCCCAGTGTGAAAAATAGAGTGCTAACTGGAGTATTACCCACAGATCACTTGCTGAAAGGCTAGAATGAAATACACCTACATACTACAGTTCTTTCCAATTGAGGAGATACTAGTCCAATGACTGGATATTTACCAAATTATGACAAAAAGCTATTTTTGAGACATTAGAAGGGTCATGTAATAAAAATAACATAACTATAATGTATTAATATATTGAGGCCTATGATGTTTTCATAGGTAACTTAGAAATATTCTCCATACATATTAAGGCTTATTCTCTAGAAGTTACACACGTAACTTAATTTGAGTTACACAGTTAAATCACGTAAAAAGGCTGTACTTTTTAAAGCCTGTAATTAGAACTAAACTCTCCCCCGTATTTAATATAAATTGATTAGGTTTTACCACATACACCTAATCTTAACTGTAACAGCATTATTTTTACAAGGCTTAGTATGTACAGTAACAATAAAAACTACTACATTCTAAGACATTTATCAGAACTGCAGAATGACAATGAAAGCCAATTCCCACTTTTAAAAGCATTCAATTTATCTATATTATATAAAAGAACCTCTTAAATTTTTTAAGTTACTCGAATAATCACTATATTTCAAATTTACAGTCAATTAGCTGCCAAATTTGTCCAAGTACCCACAAAAGTCAAACAAGCAAATAAGACTATGCATGACCTTTCTTGGTATTTGTCCCCCAAATTCTAACCAACGAATAAGACTTCACTGATGTACATGTGGAACTCAAAAGCAATCACTATTCTTATGAAAATGAACAGGAATACTAAGGATACATTCCAGACAATAAAATAAAATTCAAGAAAACCCTGCTTTTAAAAACACAAAAGAAGAAATATTAAAAAGTCATATAAATTTATTACATTATTGGAAACTGAAATTGAGTGTTTTTTTTTTTTTTTGAGACGGAGTCTCACTCTGTCGCCAGGCTGGAGTGCAGTGGCACAATCTCAGCTCACTGCAACCTCTGCCTCCCGGGTTCAAGCAATTCTCCTGCCTCAGCCTCCCGAGTAGCTGGGACTACAGGCACATGCCACCAGGCCCAGCTAACTTTTGTATCTTTAGTAGAGGCGGGGTTTCACTATGTTGCCCAGGATGGTCTCGATCTCTTGACCTCATGATCCGCCCGCCTCGGCCTCCCATAGTGCTAGGATTACAGGCATGAGCCACCACGCCCAGCCTAGTGTTCCTTTTATCCCCAATCCTTCCTAAGACTGGGAGGAGTATAAGGAAAAAAACATGCATTCTCCAGGTTAAATGTAAATTTTTTAATGTATATGTCTGTTTGGAAGTCAAAGGCTTAAATACTTTTTCAGTTAGAGATATGTTGAACTTTGTACAAATTTTATGTCTATTTTGTCTTGAAAAGTAAATCTGAAAAGTTTCCAAAAGAAATGTTAAATTTGTAATCAGGAGGCAAGAAAAACACTGCAGACATACCTTGACTTAGATGTGGTGGTTATCCAAAAAGTGGTGTACTGCTTTTAACAGTGTAACGCACAAGAGGGAATGCTTACTTGGTCACTTAGCCAGTATCTTTGGGAAGAGACTAATCTTCCACTAAAATAAATAATCACCCCCAAAATGAACTCCTGTATAAATACAATTTTCCACACATCAAATTTTATTCAAGAAAATGAAGACTGGGACACCATATTAGAATGACAGAACAGGAGACACTAGAACTCAGAACTACATTTGTCTAGTTCATAATTTTATAGATAAATGGAGACGCCCAAAAGTTAAAGTTGCTCAAGGTCACTAGTTAATTGTCAGAAAAAAAAATAGAACATTATATTTAATGTATTTTGGAAAGTAAATATTGATTTTTCCTCATTTTTATGAAAGTTACGAAATTGTTTTCCAATCCTTTAAGGTAATTTAAATAGAACTGCATAAAAACTATACTTGCGGAGATAATACTAGCATTGCTTTTGAAATAATCATCTCAGCAACATGGAAAGGAGAAACAGATAGAAAGTGACAAGCTTAGTCAAAGTTACCATCTTTTCCCTCAGGCAAACCCATGCAGGAGCAAAATGCAAACTGGCATAATCCTCTACAATTGGCATAAGGGGTGTAAGAGAAAATAGATGTGTGTGGGCACACACGTGTGCTGTGATTGTGTGCATGTGTGTTTGTGTATGAATATACACATAAGTGTGACTGTAACTGGAAACTGGGATTTTAAAAAAATACACAAGAGGATCATTACAACATATGTACATGTTTACACATGTTTACAGAAGGAAAATATGTAGTTACATGGCAGCCCCATCGAAATACATCCAGGTACAGGTATACCTCAGAGATATCGACAGGTTTGACTCCCAACCACTGCAATAAAGTGTATATCGCAATAAAACAAGTCACATAAACTTTTTGGATTCCCAGTGCATACAAAAGTTATGTTTACACTAGACTGTAGTCTATTAAGTGTGCAATATCATTGTATCTTAAAAAATGTATGATCTTAATTTAAAAATAATTTATTGCTAAAAAAATTATTGATTGTCTAGGCCTTCAGCAAGTCCTATCTTTTTGCTGGCGAAGGGTCTCGCCTTGATGTTAATGATTGTGAACCCATTAGGATAATGGATGATGAAGGTTGGGGTGGCTGTGGCAATTTCTTAAAATTAGACAATGAAGTTTACCACACTGATGGATTCTTTCTTTCATGGAAGATTTCTCTGTAGCATGCAATGCTGTTTGATAGCATTTTACCCACAGTAGAACTTTAAAAACTGGAGTCAGTCCTCTCAAACCCTACAGTTTCTTTATCAACTAAGTGTATATAATATTCTAAACCCTTTGTCATTCCAACAATGTTCATAGCAGCTTCACCAGTAGTATATTTCACCTCAAGAAACCACTTTGTTCATCCATATAAGCAACTCCTCATCCGTTCAAGTTTTATCATGAGATTTCAGCAATGTAGTCACATATTCAGGCTCCACTTCTAATTCTAGTTCTCTTGCTAGTTCCACCTCATCTGTAGTGACTTCCCCCACTTAAGTCTTGAGCCTTTCAAAGTCATCCATGATAGTTGGAATCAACTTCTCCCAAACTCCTATTAATGTTGATATTTTGGCCTCCTCTAATGAATCACAAATGTTCTTAATGGCATCTAGAATGATTAATCCTTTCCAGAAAGTTTTCAATTTACTTTGCCAGGTCCATCAAAGGAATCACTATCTATGGCAGCTACAGCCTTACACAATATATTTCCTAAATAATAAAGCTTGAAAGTCTTAATTAATCCTTGATCCATGAGCTGCAGAATAAATGTTGTATTAGCAGGCATGAAAACAACCTTCATCTCCTTGTACGTCTCCATCAGAGCTCCTGGGTGAGCAGATGCCTTGTCAATGAGCAGTAACATTTTGAAAGGCATCTTTTTTCTGAGTAGGACTCAACAGCAGACTCAAAATATTCAATAAACCATGCTGTAAACAGATGTTCTGTCATTTAAAACCCCAAAATTTTAGGCTCTGTTTTCTATTTGTAGAGCACACACAGAGCACATTTAGCATCCTTAAGAACCCAAGGATTTTCAGAATCGTCAATGGGCACTGGCTTCCACTTAAAGTCACCAGATGCATCAGCCCCTAACAAGAGAGTCAGCCTGTCCTTTGAAGCTTTGAAGCCAGGCATTGACTTCTCCCCTCTAGCTATGAAACTCTTAGATGGCATCCTCTTCTAACAGGCTGTTTCACCTACAACAAAAATCTGTTGTTTAGTGTAGCCACCTTCATCAATGATCTCAGCTAGATCTTATGGATAACCTGCTACAGCTTCTCTATCAGCACTTGCTGCTTCACCTCACACTTTTATGTTATGGAGATAGCTTCTTTCTAAACCTTATGAACTAACCTCTGCTGGCCTCCAACTTTTCTTCTGCAGCTTCTTCACTTCTCTCAGCATTCACAGAATTGAAGAGAGTGAGGGACTTACTCTGGATTAGGCTTTGGCTTTAGAGAATGTGGTGGCTGGTTTGATCTGCCATCCAGACCACTCAAACTTCTCCATATCAGCAATAAGGCTGTTAAGCCTTCCTGTCACTCATGTGTTCACTACAGCAGGTAGCACTGTTAATTTCCTTCAAGAACTTTTCCTTTGCATTCACAACTTCACCTACTGGCACAAAAGGCCTAGCTTTTGGCCAGTCTCAGCTTTTAACATGCCTTCCTCACTAGGATTAATCATTTCTAGCTTTTGATTTAAAGTGAGAGACATGTGACTCTTCCTTTCATTGAACATTTGTAGGGTTATTAATTGTTGTGTCTCAGGGAATAGGGAAGCCTAAGGAAAGGAAGAGAGACTGAGGGAATAACTGATTGGTGGAACAATCAGAACACACACAACATTTATCAACTAAGTTTGCCATCTTATATTGGCATGGCTCGTAGCGCCCAAAACAATTACAATAGTAGCATCAAAGATCACTGATCACAGATCATCATAACAAATATAACAATAATGAAAAAGTTTCAAATATAACAAGAATTACCAAAACGTGACACAGAGACACAAGGTGAGCACATGCTGTTGAAAAAATTGTGCCAATAGATTCATTCAACAGAGTTGCCACAAACTTTCAATTTGTAAAAAATGCAAATTTGTGAATTTACAACAAAATGAAGTGCAAGGAGGTATGCCTGTACACAAAAATGGAATTAAACCTCAAAATTTAGTTCCTTTAAAATGGATCTAAGAGTCCTTTTCAAAATCAACTGTATTTTTTTGTCTACCATGTTTATTCTGATCATTAGCCTAAATCACCACAATTTACAGGTTCTACTTATTTCTTCTTGGTCAAACACTGAAAGGCTACTTTAGAAATGTCTTAAATTCCATCTCATCTAAAGATTCTTCTCCAAAGCACATGCATTAGTCAGAGCCTTTAAATGATCACCTAGCTTACATTTATAAACTCTTTTATAGCTAATCCTTATGCAGACACCTACACTGTACATCGTAAGCATGAAACTACTAATGCAACTCCCCCCAACCAATTTAATCCACTTAGACCATCGTCACTACCCTCTAGACATCTTTTAGTTTTGTCCCTAATTAGACCATTCAAGGAATAATACCAATTTTGGTCACCAATTTAAAACACAGTGTTACATAAAGATCATTGCTTCTGAATTGAGTCAGACTTCAATTCTAAACTCAGCGTCACCTAGTACTGTCTTTGCAAACCTGTGCTTGTTACTTAACCTTTGGAGTAAGTAAAAATAATAGCTAAAGTAATTTATAAAATAGTAATAATAACCTCAGGACAGAAAATAGCTTTCATCTTGTATACTAATTCTGATGGATTGGGAGTAGCTGCTGGAGTGGGGGTGGAGGGTAGGGTTGCCAAGGATTCTGAAACCAAGTCCACAACTGGCAGGAAAAAAGATGTCTTAATAAAACAGATGTCTGCTGCAGACAAGAGAGGGAGAAGCAGTGCTATTCATGATTGAGAAAATGAATATATGTTGCCTGGCCCATGGCAAGCACCCAAAAAAGGTTAATTCCCTTTGCATTCTTCACCAAGTAGAACATAAAATTCAAAGAAATTCAGGCTCTGGAGATGTTTTCTTCTCTTCTACAGTTATCATTGAATTTCAAGCATTCTCCCATGTAAATATTCCAAAATAAATGTTTAACTTTCTCATACTTCTTAACCTGTCCTCTTTTTTGAATTTTTTCTTTAAAAAAGAGAGGGAAAAAAAAAACAAAAAACTTCAGGCCTCCAACCCTCTGGGAGTTATCCTCCCAAATTGGAATTCCTTTACTTTTTGCTGTTGCTATGCAATTACTGTAGAATTAAAATAGTCTGAAAAAGTCAAGTCCTTTCTATACTTTTACAAACTCATTTCATCTATGATATTTCTACTAAATAGCAGCCTACACTTTGAAACACATACTACCCCTCCAGCATCACATAAAATAAACTAGATCTTATTGACAACAATATCTCAGAGCACTTTATAATTTACAAAGCATGCTAAATATGGTATCTCATTTGATCCACATAAGTTCCTATGAATTTATTCAATAGTCTTTTCTAAGAGGTATAAATTTTATCTTATAAAATTAAATTACTGTTCACAAATTAATCCTTTTTTCCAACTTTTGAGCTACTCTTTAATTCAATCCGTTTAGTCAATTACGTTTTTGACTGCCAGATGCTCATTAACGTAACACAATAAAACCTTAAGTATGTGCTCACAAAAAATTCTACTTAAGTGAATTTTCTAGTCAACTGACAATAAAACAAAACCTTTTTTTTACTTCTGCACCAGATCATTTTTTAAAGCTACTAATATGCATTACTGCATTAAGTTCAGAATACTGAAGATAATTTAATATTCATTAAAACTTCTATCTCATGATGACTCAAAATAATATCTTGAATACCAATTCTAATATAGTCCTAAAAATGTGAAAATAAGAAATTGTTCTGAATATATGTGTGGCTCTTAGAAATTTGTTCATAAACTCCTAATAACAGCTTCCTGAGTTGTCACTATTTCCCCCTTCTAAAAAAATGGTAAATCAAGGGTTCTAATTTGATAGGTTCCAATTTAGCTATTACTATATATACATACAAAATATGCATATAATCATTTTACTCAAAAGCGTGAAATGTTTTATATATAGTAGTTTGTTCATTCTTACATTATTCATATGTAAGCACTTTCATATTAGGTAGTAATCGACTAGGATTCAGAGGAAAAGAATAAAAGAATAAAGTCAGCTAAATGGAAATAAAATTCATGAAAACAATCTATTATACTACCACACATATACTATGTGCGAACATAATATTTTCAAATAAACTGATAATGCAAATAGTATTACTCAACAAATAACAAATTGTATAAATTAAGCCAGTATATGGTTCTCTCTGCTTTCCCCATTGGCATGCACTGCTGCATTCTCTTTTTTTTTTTTTTTTTTTTTTTTTTTTTGAGATTGAATCTCGCTCTGTTGTCCAGGCTGAAGTGCAGTGGCACGATCTTGACTCACTGCTCAGTCTCCCGGGTTCCCGGGTTTAGGTGATTCTCCTGCCTCAGCCTCCCCAGTAGCTGGGACTACAGGTATGCGCCACTACACCCAGCTAAGTTTTGTATTTTTAGTAGAGACAAGGTTTCACCATGTTGGCCAGGCTGGTCTCAAAACTCCTGACTTCAACTGATCTGCCCGCCTCGGCCTACCAAAGTACACTGCTGCATTCTAATACAACCTTAAAACAACAAAAAATAAAATACCACTGTGTCTCTAATGTTCGCTAAGTGTTTCTAATTTTGTGTAGTCGGTTAGAAAAGTAACCTTGAATAAACTGTAAATTATTCAAAAGTAAATCTATTGGGTTTTTTAACTGAATATTTCAAATGGCTTTTGAAAGTCTAAATTTTGCCTTAGAAATCTTAGAGCCAAAAGAAACCTTAAAGAACATCTCAGTATTCTTCTCATTATTTTAAAAATACAATATATGTATGTAGCAAACTATAAGGTACATTATTAATAGAAGTAAATGCACTATATACACACACACACATATACAAACACACACATAGATTCTCACTAGTTTAACCTTATTCTACATTTTTAAAAAATGTTACCCAGAGAAGTTAAGTAAAGTTAATACAGCAACGTAACAAGTGTTTATTTTTTACTTTGGCAAAACAGTTTGCAGAGTCTTCTGATACCCTTATGGAAGAGAAAGAAAAATGTGGACCGGATGAAGGAAGGAAGTTAGATCATTAAGGACCAGCCTTATCTTGAGGTTTTAAGAAACTCAGATTTGCATTTTGCAATATGAAGATAACTAGCACTAACTTGGAAAATGAATTGGAAGGAAACTTAACACTGGAAATGAGACTACTTAGGAAATTAATGCAAGTCTCTTAATGAGCGATAAGGGCATAAACTAAAGTGAAGACACCAAGCAGCACAAATTGATTTGAATTGTAGACTTGGCAGGACTTAGTTATCAACAGATGTGGGAGGTGAACTATAATGCAAGGTTGTTGTCCAGGTTTTTAACTCAGATTCCTGGTTACTTAAAAATGCCTCTCAGATGGTAAATCTGCACAACAGAGCGGGGGGGGGGGGGTAAATTTGCATGGAGGCTGGATTTGGTGGCTGTGATGACAACTTTGGGACATTCTGAATATCCTAAGCTTAACATTTTGGATTGCCGAGGACATCCATGTGAAAGTATCTAGCTACTATTTGGAAATATAAGTCAGGAAAATTCTGTGTTAGAAATACGCTTCTGGACAATGGCATAATTTATGATGACGATGTTCAGAATTCCACGAAACAATGCATAGAAACTTGGCTTGAGATCATACAAAATACAATTGGCCCCCCATATCCACAGGTTCAGCATCTATGGATTTAACTAACCGTGCATGGAAAACGTAGTTAGGCCTACAGTGGTTGTATGTGTACTGAATATGTACAGACTTTTTTTCTTGTCATTATTCCCTAAAGAACTATTTACATAGCATTTACATTATAGTAGGTATTACAAGTAGACTGGAGATGATTTAAAGTATATGGGAGGATGTGCATAAGTTATATGCAAATATTATGCCATATGATATAAAGAACTTGATCATTCTTAAATTTTAGTGTCTCCAGGGGACCTGGAACCAATCTCCCCCACGGTTACCAAGGGACAACTGTATTCAGGTACTATACAAAACCTAAGGGGTACAAAAATGAATAAGACATTAACCTCTAGAAATTTACAGTCGGACAGGAGAAACAAATTTGTAAATAAGTGATTACTAAATTGTTCAATGCGTGCAATTACGGCAATGTGTATAAAGCAGACAATGGCAACAGGGTCAAGAATGGAAGCCACTAGAACATTAGGTCAGGTAAATTAAGACAAAACTGAGAAATATGTAATCAAGAGAGGAGGAAATTTCAAATACAACAAAAAAGTGTCAACGCTATCAGATTAACAGAGGCCAACACTAGAAGAATTAATATGCTGGATAGCAATTACATCACTTCATAGGCTAGGCTACAACAATGATTCCCAACCTGGTATTGCCAGATCACTGGGCCAACAGTAAGGATGTGTAACTATTGTCAATATTTCAAAATGCCTTTCAAAAATTGTAACTTTGCCTAATATAGCCTAACTTCTTTACTGCTGACTGGAATTATGTTAGCTCCATGTGGTAACTCTATCATCTTATATTTGTCTCTTTTTTTGATTAATAGTTACACATCTGACTGATAAAAGGAGGAAATGAATGATTACTTAGTAGAAATAATTTTGTGTTATAAAATAGGTTTACACAGAGAAGAAAATGAAAACAATCCTTAGTACTTAAAAGTCTAGACTCAAGGGCTAAAACACTGGGCCATAGCTAATAAGAGTATGCTTAACAGATATAAACGATCTGTTCAGTTCAAAACATTGGTTAGCTAAGCAAGGGAGTAGTCAAGCTAAAAGAGACTGTGGTTTTAGTTGATTACAGCCTCGCTCTGTGCCAACATGAAGCTCCAAAAAAACCTATTCTAATGTTAAGCTATATTAATAGGATTACACATAAGTGAAGGAGTGGTATAACAGTTTTGATGTATGCTATTCAACAGTATAACTGGAATGAAATGGCCCACTACTATATTCCAAATTTTAAAACATACAACTACAGATCATCCAGAGGAGGGAAGTGGATATTTTATCTAGAAAACACTCTAGAGCTGTCTTCAAATGGCAGAAGGGATATCATATATAGAGAGAATAGTGGGCTTTTAATTTATTGCTACAGAAAGCAAAACTAGGATGGGTAGACAGACGTTACTGAATGGCAGATATTCGGCCAAATACAAAGACCTTATGAATATAAGAATTACTGCCAAAAAACAGTGTTAGACCCATCATCATTGAATGTTTTTATACAAAGGAAAGATGATCCATCTCTTAGCATTCACACTACACTGTAATTGCATGTTTAAAATTATCTGTCTCTCCGAATAGAACATGAACTCTTTGAGAGAAGGGTTATAGTCTTACTTATCTTTTTGGCCCCATGGAATCTAGCAATGAACATTGTATACAGCTATTGTACAAAAAAAAAAAAGGTCTACTGAATTAATAGGTGAATGAAGAAACTGAATGTTTTAAGAAACACTTTACTGAAAAGATGAGACGCCCTTTTGGGCCCCTAAATTTTTAAGATGTCCTTAGTACAGAGTCTCATGCAGAACTCATTCTACTTCATAACACAGCCTAGGAAGGGTGTGCATAATGAATCTATTTTACTATGTGATAAGGAGCACAGTTAGGCTAATTCGAACTGCCATCTTTATCTGAAGTGCTAATATTAATTACAGTTTCTTTGCCAAACTAGAAAAGATATAATTCCTGATCTTTGTATTATGAAAACTTAAGCAAATGCTTCAGTATGAAAATATTTATGAGAGTATCTCAAACACAGAAGAATCTCTAGAATGTGAGGATTTAAAAAATCTTATTCTTCAAACATGTTAAGCAGTAGGCAGAGTAAAATGCCATCAGGTGACATGGAAAATGAATCAGTAACACTTAACTGCCAGTAGAAAGAAAGGAAGAACTAAGAAAAAACGGAAAAAACTGAAAAGATTTTAAGAAATTACAAGTTATAGCATCATATCCGAATGGCATCTGCCTGAAGGATTTTCCTCATGCTCTGCCTAAACCTTTCTACTTTCACGTGGTGTGGTAGTGTGGTAGTGTGGTAGAGTTTCACGGCTTCACAAGAAACTCTACCACAAACTAGTTGGGAAAATAAAGTACACAACATAAATCAGTGGGTTTGGTTTCTTGATTTTTAACCTTTGGTAAAAGGACAGTGAGGGAAACAAATGTTGAAAGTACTGCTGCAGATAACAGGAACATCATAGATTATAGGTAGATCTTATTCCCCACCATTTTAACTCAAGCAGACATTTGAAACTGTCTGAATGTGTCTTGCATACAATAGGTACTCCCTCTCTTAAATAAATAAGCTACATGTAAACACACAGCTAACTCTACTTTGGAGTCCACATGATCCGACAAAAAGAAGTCCCCAGAGATGCATACTACCAGTGATTGATCACTTAGAAGGGAAACGCTTTAAAAAGTTTTACTTAGGAACACACTTTCAATGTAGAGAAATAATGATATAGCTATAGGTACCTTGCACAGCTGCACAGATGAATATACACACACAGGGAAAATTTACAAATTACTTTCACTGTTTGAGTTAATCTAAGAGACAGGGCCTGGAAGATGTAATCTTTCACATAAATATCCTAGACGTGTGAAATTAATTCTCACAATCTCTTCCTTAAAAACAAGGCAAAATATAGACACTTGGTCCCAGTTACATGTTTCTGGAACAAGAGAAAAATACACTTTAGTGTCAACTACCTTATCTAGGAACTTAATTTTTATTAAGCTGTTTTTCGAAATATGAGCATTGTGGCACTATAACACTTCATAGACTGGTATTTGCAGGATTCTAAGAATGTGTGCTTGTTGTAAAGACGTTATTTACTTCTTTTCATGGAGAAAAACAGTTTTGAGTGTTGGCGGGGAACAAAACCACTTGAGGAGGAAATTAACCTAACCCCAAATTTCCTGGACCCCCTACAACAGCAAACAGAAGGGGAACGGGCAGAGAGTGTAACCCAGCATCAGCCCGAGCGGGCACAGGGAAGGGTTAGGAATGGGACAAAAAACTGGACTCTCAGTTTGGCAGGAAGGTGGGTATTGCGGAAGGATGGTTTGCCGCGGCCGGGGAAAGAAAAGAAAGGGCAGCCTGAGCCCCCCGTGGCCCCTCGCTCCTCCCAGCCCGTCCCGTGGGGTCTGCAGGGCCTCACCCCGACCTCCACTCCGCGCGGCCGGCAGGAGGCGGCGGCCCGGACGCTGTACCTGCCCGCCAGCCCGCTTTGCCCCGCGTGCGGCCGCCGGGAGGCCGGCAAAACCACGAAGGCCGGGGCGAGCGAGCCAGTCGGGCCCGGCGTCCCAGCGGCGCCGCTCCGCCCACCCGCCTCCCGAGACGCGGCCAGGACCCCCGCGCGTCTTCAGCCGGCTCCAGACCACAGGAGGCGGCCCCGTCAGCGCCTCGGCCTGCCGGCGCACCTCCGAGCCCCCCGCCAGCTGGGTGGTCCCGGTCCTCGCTCCCCGCTGTCAGCCTCCACTTACCTTCAATCGCCATGATGCGCTCGCCATGGACCGCACCAACTGGATGGCGGGGGCAGCAGACGCGAGGGCTGGCGGAGGACGCGCTGAGTCCGCCAGCGAGAGGGGCGGGGCCCGGCCCGGAGTCGCCCGGCTGTGCGGCCGCGAGGGGCGCCGCGGGCGGGGCGAGGGAGGGGCCCCGAGCGCCGCGAGTGCGGGCCGCGGAAGAAATGGAACCTTCCCGGGGCCGCCGCTGGCACGTGACGCCACCCCGCCCCCACCCCAACCTACCCCACCCCACCCCACCGCCCCACCGCGCCTCGCGCCTCGATTCGAAACAGGTGCCCGGCCCGGAGAGCCACGGGCCCGCGCCCGAGACCCGCCCGAAGCGCGCCGAGCTCGTGTGGGGGCCCAAGCCCAAGCTTCCTGGCGCCGGGCGCCCTCCCGTCCGGTACTTGGAGCAAACGGTGTCCATGAAGGAGGCGAGTGGCAAATGATGTGGTCAGGACCATGGACAGGTCTCCTTGGTTGAAAAGGATTCCCACCCACTGACTCTCAGATTTGGTAATAGTAAGTCTGTTTTGGTTTCGTTTGGTTTTATTTTGTTTTGTTTTGCCCGAATCAGCCACATACTCGTCTCAGATCTCCGCTGTGGAGAAACAGCTAGTTGGCAAAAAGCAAAAAGGAGAGAGGAATCCTGAGCACAGCAGTGGTCTCTCTCTCTCTCTCTCTCTCTCTCTCTCACACACACACACACACACACACTCACTTCACCCCTTAGCCTCGCTCTTGATAAGCCTTGCTGCCACACAGAGCTTGGCTTACCTCTTGGAACTCTGAGTTGGAATTTGTCTACACATTGCAAACGCACATTTGAAGCCACACAAAAGTCAGGGTCAGACGGACGTTTTGACAAAGGACCTGGAAAGCATGTCACACGCAGGTTTTTAAAAATTTGTAAACCTGTGACCATTGTGAACAGTCCCAGGCCAACCCTGAGCACAACAACAATTGGCCACTTAGTTTTTACTTAAGATACTTGAACCGCTCAACCATTTACCCAACTCTCAACTTCATTTAGTAATTTGAGAACCTGGACAATCAACGGCATAAACAACATTGAGAAATAGGGAGTTTAGTGATTCTCTCTTGTGGAGGAAATGCTAATTCCTAGAGCAAAATAGCTATATTAGGGACTGAAACAAAGAAGAAAATATTTTACACTTATGTAAGTAAGGTTGGACTGTAAATCTAGAGCAGAAACTGTCTTCCATTGCTTTTATATAACCTCTCCCTCAGTCGCATTTTATGCTCAATAGACATTCATCCTTTACCATTTTCTTTAGTTCAGTGAGTATCTGTGAAGCCGGCACTGTGCTGAAAACTGGCTACAAGCAAGAATTGTTATTGAAGGATCAAAGAAAATACTGTTTTACTCAGGAAACATTAAAATGCCTATACTTTAGGAAAGCTCCATGAGAGAGTTTATGATGGACATCTAGAGGATTCGGGTAAAATGTTTAATGACATTTTCCCCAGGCAGCCTCCCTTAAAACAGTCTTGAACTCCAAGACATTGATCTGAACTTGACACCACAGTTGTAAGTTGTGGTTTCTGGCTAGTTCTGAGTAACCCAATTGTTCAAACTTTTAAAGAATTTCATATTGAAAGCCCGAAAAATGTATTCATCCTTTCCTCACCAATTACATAGTTACTAAGTAAATAACCAGATTATGTGAGTTTCCATAACCTAGATTAACATCGCTACTATTTGTCCAGGAGACTTATTTGTCCAGGAGACTCATGTGGATGAACTGGGGAAGAAGGAAGATAGTTCCTAGAAGGAGGTTGTTGGACAGAAAGAACTTAACTTATGCCTAGTGTTCCATTATTGGAACGCTAAGCACGCGGGAGTTGTTTACATCCTGCTGCTCAAGGTCATCGCCAAGGTCTGATTGCAAAAATTCTAAAAATTGCAACCTCAGGGATAAATGAGTTAAGTAGTAACTACAAAGGTACTGTACTGTCTAGACATCCACCTCTTGTCTACCTTCTAACTCTTTTGCAAGCACTTGCCTTTCATCGTACTTCCCTGCAGTTCCCTTACAGCAGAGCTATCCAAAAGAATTGTCCGCAACTATTAAAACACTCTGTATTTGTGCTGTCCAATACAGTGGCCCGTAGCCACCTGTGACTATTGAGCACTTTAAACGTAGGGAGTGCAACTGAGGAACTGAATTTTTAGCTTTATTTAATTTTATTCAGTTTAAAGTTTAAAAAGCCACTTGTGGCTATTGTCTGCCATATCAAACAGCATAGACTTAGAGCTACAGAAATGGCATGGTAGTGTTCAGCCAGGAACTAAGAAAGAAGATTATTTAATGAGCACTTGGTGAGATAAACTGTAATGTCTGTAGTGGGAAAAGAATAGCAGCAATTTCCCATGTTTGGCAATTCTATCTAATGACCTGACACTGTTAAGAAATATATCCATCATGCTGTGTGGAGGTAGTTAAAGATGGAGATGGAAAAAAATAACCAGAAATCAGAATAATTTTGTTTTCTCTTCCATTTCCTCCAGCAAATATTTTCCTCAAGAGTTGTCATTTACTCTACTATAGATAGCACAGTTATAACAGGGAAAAACTAACATGAAATATTCTAGAATTATTTTTGTTCACTTAGATCAAATGGTAGTTTTTTTCCTGCCACCTAAAGCTTTAGAAGTAACACAAGCTCTAGCAAAGAAAAGAAAGAAGTAAGCAAATAGCACGGACACTAATTTATTATCCTGTGCTTTCCTTCCATGGTATCTTCTAAGCGTTTCATTCAGACAGAAGGGCCAACTACACTTCCTTTTCCTCTGTAACTATGATATTATTCCTGTATAATCTGCTATAATTTTCTTATTGCTCACTGAAGTTATTGCTATTGGCTAGCTGCATAGAGCAGTACACAGAGGTTTTTCAAAAGAATAATAACACAGCACGATACTGGCCTGTCAGCTCGTAGGAGTGAACAGAACTTTTAAACATATAGACCAATTTAACACAAAATGATCAACAAGTACATGCTTAGTAGGATACAGGCTACTGTAACTAAGTGTTCTTATTCACAACAAAGAAGTTATTATTTTGTTCTAGGTAACAGTACTTGACTATATTTAAAACCTTTTTTCACAGCTGAGTGTTCCCATGATAATGACAAGTGACATTTATATAGTGACTTTCACTCAGAGGTCAAAAAGTGTGCCACACACCTTTTACATGACATAAATATGTCACCCACCAGTAAATACAGCCACCTATCATGTAGAAAGCGGAAGCAACTTTTAGAAGCCCTAAAGAATATATATATACAGGAAAGAAATTGAATTTTACACCTAGAATAAATTGAGTTAGATGAGAAAATGGTCTTCTGCTGCAAAAACATTATTCAACTCTTCTTGGTTTATATAATTGCAAATTTGGACAGGGTAATGATGTGTGGAATAGAGGAAGGAGAGTCAAAGCAAAAGATAATTTAGGATAATCTGGAAAAGAGATGATTAGGGCATCATTTAGAAAAAGGAGGTAAAATAATGGGCTTGATCAGACCAGAGAGTCTATGAGGGTCACTAAGATCTTTTATTGCTTACACTGTTCAAATACAATGCTGTCAAACATTGTTCTTTGTATAAAAATAGGTGCTCAATAAATTGTTGTTAAATGAATAAATTATAACAGGCTTGGTGTCATGTATCCTTTATAATTGTAGTTCTTAAACTCTGATGCATACATCTACACAAAAATTGGATAAAATAGCCATTGATGATTGTGATAAAGAGAAGCTAAAAATGGATTATTGAAAACTCTTTATGTAAAATAGTATTTCTCATTATCATCTTCCTAATCATCATTTCCTAATACAGAATTTCTCTTTGCTTAAGTATTTACTTACTGTTATGAAGGAAAGGGAAAAAACTTAATAGTTTAACATGGTATAACATGCCATAATCTGACAGAAAGTTTATTAGTGTTTTCTATTTTAACATGGAGCAATTTACTAAAGGAATTATGGAACATTTTTTAAGGATTCAGAAAGATAGACTATAAAATCAATTATAGAATGACTTGTAAGAGTACAATTTTGAATTGTAAATGATATATTAAGGACTGGAAGTACATTGTGAGACTCCAAGCACAATTCATGTTTCAATTGCTATGGTAAAGTTTTCATTTCATGAAGATACTGAATTTTTAAAATACTAAAAAACTGATTAAATGAACTCTTGATAATAAGTACTTAAGTAATCCAGTTTGTCTCCTAAAACTCCATGCATAAATATTTAGCTTAGTTTTTTTTGTTTGTTTGTTTGAGACAGAGTCTCACTCTGTTGCCCAGGCTGGAGTGCAGTGGCATGATCTTGGCTCACTGTAACCTCCACCTCCCAGGTTCAAGCGATTCTTCTGTCTAGCATCCCAAGCAGCTGGGATTACAGGCATGCACTCTGCTAATTTTGTATTTTTAGTGGAGGTGGGGCTTCACAATGTTGGCCAGGCTGGTCTCAAACTCCTGACCTCAAGTGATCCACCTGCCTCAGCCTCCCAAAGTGCTGGGATTACAGGTGTGAGCCACCGCACCCGACCTTGCTTAGCTTTCAGTAGAAAAGGTGATATAGAAAATATGAGATAAAGCAGTTAGGGTACCTGCTACTTCTACTAGTTTCTGTTAACTGCATCTGATTGTTATGAATTTACAGAGGGGAAATGTACTCCTGTGCTAGATGCTAAGCCATGTTTGTTTTCTTCTCCACCCACACTCCTCACCCAACCAAAATACACTTGATTGAGTTTATGTCTATATTGTTAAATATTAATCCAACTGAATTCACCATTGTTCAAGAGGCTACTAAATTTCAAACTCTCAATCTAAAATGTAACAACTACATTGTCCTTTGTAATGTTTGCATAACATTTCCACTGGGATCCATTTCTAAACCTTTTAAATATCAGACTATTACTTTCAGTTGCCTCCTGGTAATTTCCACCTGTTATGCTCAACCTACTTCTTAATCAAACTCACTACATTGTCTTTTTAAAAAAAATTATTCCTCTTTCTTTATTCACCACCCAAGTTATTGATACCACAATCCACTAAGTCGTCCAAATTAGAATGACTTAGAATTATTTGTATTCCTCACTCTCAAAAGGTCATTAAATCTGTAGATTCCACCATATGTGTATAATCAAAACCCTACTTTTATCTCCTTTTCCTAATGGATGCCCTCATCATCTCTTTTCCAGATTTTTACAATAAATTCCTAGATTATCTTCCTACTTTGACTGTCTTTCCCTTTATTCCACATATGATTACCTTGTGCAAATTTATCTTCTTCAATTCTATCAATATTATACACTGCATTTCCAAAATACATACCTGAGCATTTTATTCTTATGTTAAAATCTTCAGATAATAGTGGTGAAAGGGAGATGCATGTGCATTAGTTGATCACAGACTTTTAACAACTTTCTAGAGGGAAAACTTTAGCTGCAATGGATATATCAATAGAGAGAAATGTCAGCCCAGAACTCATAGAAGAATGCCAGAGCAATGATGAAAGCTGTCTTTCCCAATAAAGCACCAGGGACCTTGGGCTTGAAGTGGATAGAAATGAAGTGGAAAAGCAGATTCTAGAGTAGAAGTAAGGGAACTTAATTAAAAGCCTATCAGTGGGGCGGGCGCAGTGGCTCATGCCTGTAATCCTAGAACTTTGGGAGGCCCAGGCGGGCAGATCACAAGGTCAAGAGACTGAGACCATCCTGGCCAACATGGTGAAACACCGTCTCTACTAAAAGTACAAAAATTAGCCGGGCATGGTGGCACGCACCTTTAGTCCCAGCTACTCAGGAAGCTGAGGCAGGAGAATCGCTTGAACCCGGGAGGCGGAGGTTGCAGTGAACTGAGATCATGCCACTGCACTCCAGCCTGGGCAACAGAGCGAGACTCCATCTCAAAAAAAAAAAAAAAAAAAAAAAAAAGCCTATCAATGGATAGCTAGTTCAATCCAGCCTCCCCTATTTTTCTCAAACCCAAATGTATGGATAACTGCCAGAAAGAAGTGAAATTTGTAGTATAGAATCAGAGAATTGTAAATAAATTGAACATCTTTCTAGAAAGAGGTAAGGCTCCTAGTGTTGGCACCCTGACATAAAGCCCTCTATATTTTGATATACTAACTACATGTATTATTCCACCTTGTCCTTTATTTTAAAATATAAGTTCTTAAATAAAGGATCTTTAGACATTTGTAAAAGACCTAGGAGAGGTTGGGCTCAGTGGCTCACACCTGTAATCCCATCACTTTGGAAGGCTGAGGCAGGTGGATTGCTTGAGCTCAGGAGTTTGAGACCAGCCTGGGCAACATAGTGAAACCCTGACTTTACAACAAGAAATACAAAAGATTAGCCGGGGGTGTTGGCACGTGCCTGTGGTCCCAGCTGTTCAGGAGGCTGAGGTGGGAGGATGGCTTGAGCCTGGGAGGCAGAGGCTACAGTGAGCCGTGATCACGCCACTGCACTCCAGCCTGGGCGACACAGCAAGATTCCATCTCAAAAAAAAAAAGGAAGAAAGCATATGTCCATACAAAGACTTGTACCTGAGTGTTCATAGCAGCATTATTTGAAGTTGCCAAAAACTGGAAACAACCCAAATGTTCATCATAAGTGAATGAATAAACAAACTGTGGCATATCTATATAATGAAGTAATAACCAGTAATTAAAAGGAATAAACTGTCGATGCACACAACATCGTGGATGAACCTCAAAATAATTATGCTGAATGAAAAAAAGCCAGGGAGAAAAATGAATACATACTCTATGATTCCATTCATATAAAAGTCTAAAATATACAAACTACATAATCTATAGTGACAGGCAGTAAATCAGTGGTTGCCTGGGAGGAAAGAGATAAAGTGGTCTAGGAAGGGGCAGGAGGGAGAGATTACAAAGGGACAGAAGGGAGTTTTGGGGGCTGACTGATGTCTTATCTTGATTGTGGTAATGGTGTCATGAGTGTATTTCTATGTCAAAACTGATCAATTCATATACTTAAAACATATGCAATTTATTGTTTGTCAATTATGCTTCAAAAAATCTGTTTGTAAAAGGAAAAAGAAAAAACTAGAAGAGACAAAAGACAGGTGAATGGAAAATAGGAGAAAAAAATAAAATTCATTGAAGATCAATTCTGAAAGTCTAGAGTTTAGCCAATAAGAGTTCCAGATGGAAAGAAGAGAGGATCTGGAGTGCAAACAGTTAAAGAAACAATGCAAAACTATTTCTCTGATCTAAAGAAAGGCCCTGGACTTTAGATGGAAAGAACCCTGCGAGAGCCAAGCAAGATGAATGAACGAAAACCCACATTGAGACACATCCCATGGAATGGAATTTTAGAACATCAAGAATAGTGAAGATTCTTAAAGCAGAGATTTTTTAAAAGAAAGGGTAAAAAGAAAAATTAAAATAAATAACTTAACTCTGAAAAACTGAGGTTCAAACTGGGATCAGAGATTTCAATGACAAACTGGATATTAGAAAAGAAGGGAGCAGCCGGGTGCGGTGGCTAATGCCTGTAGTCCCAGCACTTTGGGAGGCTGAAGCGGCGGGTCACTGGAGGTCAAGAGTTCAAGACCAGCCTGGCCAATATGGTGAAACTGTGCCTCTATAAAAAATACAAAAATTAGCCAGATGTGGTGGTGCGTGCCTGTAGTCCCAGCTACTTGGGAGGCTGGGGCAGGGGAATCACTTGAACCCCAGAAGTAGAGGTTGCAGTGAGCCAAGATCATGCCATTGCACTCTAGCCTGGGTGTTGCAGTGAGACTCCATCTGAAAAAAAAAAAAGGAGCAATGACTGTGGAGTCTTTAAGAAAGAATGATTATGAACTTCAAATTCTATGTCAAGCCTGATTCAATCATGAATGAGGACAGAGTAAAGCATTTCAGGCATTCATAAATTTTTTAAAAATCTACTGTTGTGCACATTTTTTTTAATTTTTAACTTGATGATATAGCCCAACAAAATAATAATTCAAGGAAGAAGCTATAGATCCAAGAAACCATGAAACTAACCTATGAGTATAATGAAAAGAAATCATAGGAAGACAATGAACCTGAAAATCAACAAATTTAAAGGGAAGTCTGAAGAAAATATTCAGAAAGAAAATTACCATTCAACAACTAATATACTACAATGCTGAAAGATCTTATTGTTATGAAAAAGGCATACATTTTTTCTCTTAGTAGAAAGAAGAGCAGTTAGATGCTCTAGGGTGGAAAAGCCATATGGCCCACATATGAAACAAATTAAGTATGGCTTGAGTTTGAGTCATTGTTAAAGTTGTTAGAGAAAATCTAGTTGACCTTGACACTTGGAATATTCTCTTTTGAGCAGCACTGATTTAGCAACATAGCACCACATTTTCCAATTTAAAATTGTAATCATACAACTTGAAACACAGTAAATAATATTTCTTTAATCATAACATATAGATATTATTTATTAATTCAAAGATATTATGAAAGGCGCAGAATACTTCACAGAACCAAACATAAATGTTATCAATATTGACAATATCAAAATAAGAATATAGCCATCAGAGGCTGAGAAGTAAAGCAGAGGAATGAGGGATGGAGAACAAGGATGGTAATTTCTCCCAACTTACATAAGGGAGAATTAAAATTACTTTTTAAAATTTATGGAAAATAAGGACAAATTTTATTATATTTTGAAATTGATATAAATGAGCAATAGAACACATATATATATACATACATATATATGTATAATATATATATTCTTTTTTTTTTTTTTTTTGAGATGAAGTCTCTCTCTGTTGCCCAGGCTGGAGTACAGTGGCGTGATCTCACCTCACTGCAACCTCCACCTTCCGGTTCAAGCAATTCTCCTGCCTCAGCCTCCTGAGTACCTGGAATTACAGGTTTGTGCCACCACACGAGACTAATTTTTGTATTTTTAGTAGAGACGGGGTTTCACCATGTTGGCCAGGCTGGTCTCGAACTCCTGACCTCAAGTGATTCGCCTGCCTTGGCCTCCCAAAGTGCTGGGATTACAGGCATGAGCCACCACACCTGGCCTATATATTCTTCTATTGTATCTTCTATATATACATTCAGAAAAAGAGGAAGGGAGGAGGTGGGAAATAGTATATAGTCATCCCTCAGTATCCTCGGAAAATTGGTTCCAGGACACTCCTCCCCATTCCAAAGTCCATGAATGCTTAAGTTCTTTATATAAAATGGAAGATAATTTGCATATAACCTAACCACATCCTTCTGTATATTTTAAGTTATCTCTAGATTACTTACAATTTCGAATTCAAAGTAAATGCTATTTATTATACTGTATTTTTTTAAATTTGTATTATTTCTTATTGTTGTATTGGTATTTTTTTTTCAAATTTTTAAATTCACAGTTGAATCTGTGGATGCAGAACCCACAGTTACAGAGGACAGATTATATATGAGCCAAATTCTTCTTCTTTCATAACCTGGAATCAATAGATATCTAAACTTAGAAGATAGAAATATATATATATTTACATATGGGTTTTTTTGTTTTGTTTTGTTTTGTTTTGAGATGGAGTCGCCCTCTGTCGCCAGGCTGGAGTGCAGTGGCACGATCTCGGCTCAGTGCAACCTCCACCTCCCAGGTCCAAGCGATTCTCCTGCCTCAGCCTCCTGAGTAGCTGGGACTACAGGCGCGCGCCACCACGCCCAGCTAATTTTGTATTTTTAGTAGAGATGGGGTTTCACCATGTTGGCCAAGATGGTCTCAATCCACCCACTTTCGCCTCCCAAAGTGCTGGGATTATAGGCGTGAGCCACCACATCCGGCCAGAATTATATTCTTTTCTTTTTCTTTCTTTCTTTTTTTTTTTTTTTTCTGAGACAGAGTCTTGCTCTATCGCCCAGGCTGGAGTGCAGTGGTGCGATCTCGGCTCACTGCAGCCTCTGCATCCCAGGTTCCAGCGATTCTCCTGCCTCAGCCTCCTGGGTAGCTGGGATTACAGGCACGCGACACCACACCCGGCTAATTTTTGTGTTTTTAGTAGAAACAGGGTTTCACCATGTTGGTCAGGCTGGTCTCAAACTCCTGATCTCAGATGATCCGCCTACCTCGGCCTCCCAAAGTGCTAAGATTACAGGCGTGAGCCACCGTGCCCAGCTGATAGAATTATATTATTTAGCATATGGTGATAATCGCAAGAACTAAAAACAGAAACTTATAAAAGTTTGCCTCTTGGGAATATGCTGGGTATGGAGGAGTCTCAATTGGAAAATATTAATTTTTGTTTTGACATTAAAAATATAAAAATATATTCTGAAAGTAAAGGTTCGAATGGCTTCTCTCCTCTGTGATGCCTCCCAAGCCTACCTTCCATCAGAGGTAAGAATTCTCATGATATTTGCATTTATGTTTATTATATTTAGAGTGTCTCTTCATAATTGAATGGGCCCTAAACTGAGCCCTAAGTTAGTAACTCTGTTTCATTCATCTTCCTGGTTCCCTTTCACTGAGGAGGCTTAAATGAGGAATTCCTTAAATAGAATTGGTTTGAGCCAGACAGGGCAAGCCAGTCTGAGGGAGGAAGTGTGTATTCAACCCACCTTGGTCTGTGCTCTCATTCTCTTTGTTTTCCTGGAAAGGGTTTTACTGTTCTCTCTTAGGGGCCATTCCCTTTTGATTTAGCCTTCTTTTATGTCTGAGGCTTAGTTATATAATCACAGATGAAGTTCTTTATTTTCTCCAAATTTTCTATGTAGGGCTTTTCTATTGGTGCTGGTCAATGGGAAGTCATTTAATGTGCTGAGCTATATCTCTGCAGATGGGAGAAATCTGGAGCCTGGTCATAGTTTTTTTTTTTTTTTAATTTGGACAATGACATCAAGGATCCAAAAACCACAGGAGGACTCTGAGCATAAACACCCTACAAACTGGGGGCAAAATTTGGATTTCTATGTATACTTCTCCTATCCCTCCTTACAGTGCTGTCAGGGAGGCTCCAGGAAAAACCCGTCTTATATTCTGAATTCTCTCACCCTGACATACCACATATCAACTATGATTTTCCTCATTGTATATTAAATAACGGTATATGCTTGTGTGGTCCTTTGTGCAGAGTACGAATGTATTCTATAATGAATATAAATGCAGAATATAAACTGTAAAACTTTGGTTTGTAGTTAAAATGTCCAAAACCTGCAACTGACCCACCTGAGCTATGCTCTCAGCTTATTCTAAACAATAAACCAGAGAGGGGATTGGATAAGAACTCTGTCCAGAATAATACACTATTTGTGCTGCGCTTGCACCAACCCGACAGTGAGTGCCTCCTTAAGTGTTGCACCCTAGGTTCCTGGCTTACCTCAGCCTTAGTCCTGACCTGGGATTCCTACCATCTCTAGCTCCCCCGGGTCACAGCAATGGGAGAGGATCTCAGCAGTTCTAAATCTTCCCCTACTCCCAGTGCCAAGCCCACAGTGATCCCTCATTAGTGAAAATGTATTTAATTAATAAGAAATCATCAATAAAGCCCTTCAATAAATGAATGAAAGTAGAATAGGGAAAACCTAGACCAGAAGCAGCACAGGTAGAATGGACGTGGAGTTTTAATTGAGAGTAAGTTCAATTTGTATATATGGGGTGCCTACTAAAATTATTAATGTGGTTTTAGACTGCAATTTTAGATACCTATTATCTATCAAAAAGACAGCAGCAATCCCAGTCTTCCCTGCCCTGGTTAAAAAAAAAAAATACCTGGAGTGAATTCAATGGCAAGATATTTCTAATTATATTCTATGTGAAAAAGGCTAAAAAGCTGATAAAGTTTAGTCTGAAAAAGAAATGACTCAGGGACTCCATGATAATTGTTTTCAAATATTTGAATGTCTGCCAGATGAAAAGAGATCAGGCTTATTCAGTATGGTCACGATGGTTAGAGCCAAAACCAGTGGGTGGCAGCTGTACAGGAAGAGATCTGTGCTTGTTATAAGCCCCAGTGCCGAGATTATCACTGTCATGAATGGTCTCTCTTGGTTTAGTGTGCATAATAATTGGTTTTTTTTTACCACATTAAACCAGATTGTAATCATAGCCTACATACAAGGTCTATTGGAAGAGAATTATGCTAACAGGCGACTCAACAAAAGCATTAGGTGGATGGCAGATTTGGGAAGCTGCCAGCCCTTTCCCCTCCTCCTTACTTGGCATTTTTTATGTTTGTTTGTTTTTTGGGGGTTTTTCCACTCTGTGTTGGTGGAAGCACTTCAGATAGTTGAAACCAGTGGTTTCCCAGGTAGGCTTTCTTCTTGCCAAAGACCCATCCTGGAACCTGTACCAGTCTCCCCATCCCTCTCTCTCCCACAGTCTAACTTTCCAGCAGGTTTCATTGTATCCCAGTCTCCTGCTCTCAAAATCCTAAGGACCACATGCTAGTTTTGTCATAGGGCCCATACCTTAGGTTTCTCTCGCCTCACTCCTCCTCATTTATACTTTAGCTTTAATTTTCAGTGATTCACCTCTAATCTCCCAAAGGTCCAAGAAGCCAAAGTGGAGAGAAATTAATGCTCATATAGAGATTTTCTGCCTAAGAGTCAATGATTCTAAGACAAGCTTGAGATGGAAATGAACATGATGTACTTGAAAGATGAGGAGATTTTCAAGAGTAAAGAAGTAGAACTGAGGAATTGTAAGAGTCATATTACTATTGCTGAATGGCAGACTGAGGACCCCCAGAATCTTGTAAGGATTTTAGCAAGAAAGTGATATGTTCGAAGTGACATTCTGGGCAGTAAATTATAAGAGGGAGTATAGGATTAGTTCAAGAAAGTAGAGAATAAATGCAGGAACTAATTAGAAGATGCCACAGTAGTCCAAGAATCAGATGGTGAAAGCATGGACAATGAGAGCAGCTGTAAGCATGGAAAGGAAGTTAGGTGGAGAGGCATGTTAAAAGAATTTTGACGATACTTAGTGTACTGGACATTATCTTATCTGACCAGAAAAATATATCCTTTATTTTCCAAAAGTTGCCCCTCTCCCACTCCAGCCATATGATTATGGAGGGGACTGAGGTGCAGCCATGAGAATGCCCTTGGTAGAACTCCTACCAAAAAGAGCGCACTTGAATAAGGGCCTCAGCTGCTGCACTTGGAAATCCATCTCCATGTATGCACTGAGACCACATCTCATACAGGTTGCTGCCACCAGTAACTGAGTGTGATAGGGACACCAAGGGAGCTCCATTCCAGGAAGACAAGAGACTACCTTTCAGCAACTTTGCCTCAGGAACTACCTGATAATCTTGCAGAACCCTCTATAGACTGCCTAGCAATCTAGACCCAAACTATTCTCTCTTTTACCTTCACTTAGAGTCAGATTGCATCATGGTCTGATGGCTTCCCAGCCATTTCCAGCACCCTCCCTATATATATATCCTTTTACACAGATATATAGGTTGTATATGTCTAAGTATATCTAATAAAATCCTTATACATTTAATCCTGTTTGGCATCTGCTTGTTAGAGGACATGAATGAATGCAACTGCCAATCCTATTCTTTCTCTCTGGCTCTGTCTTCTGTCTCTCTGTCTCCCTCTCTCTCTTTTACACATACACATGCCCCAGGGGTAGCACATGATCCAGGCTGGGCCAATTACTTAGTACAGCATCCATCTACCCATAGTGATTATTCTAAGGAATAGGCACATGACCCAAGTTGTACCACTAAGAATGCCCCCTGAGACTGGCTGAATTTAAACTAGAGGCCAAACTGAGTTTTTAAATGCAGATGCTGCTGAATGGGTGTGACCTAAGTCTACTACTAGAATCCCAGCCTTGTGGAAAAGACCCAGAAAGTATAGCTATCATCCAGGTAGAAACAGAAAGAGTGCATTTTGGTGGCACCACTTTGCTGGTTCCAGTTCCTGAGGTGTGTAGAGCTGCTTTAGTTTCCTGCAGCTGTCTCTCTCTCTTTTTTCTCTTTCTAAATTATATGAGGTACCCAGGATCCTTCCAATAAATCCCTTTTTTTTTCTTAAGGTAGCTGGAGTTTCAAATTCAGTCACTTGAAGCCAAAAGACTCATAATTAATATACACAGTGACAAAATAGACAAAGGATTAAGTAGAGGATAAGAAGCAGTTAGTTCTAATGTTATAGGCATAGGAGACCAAAATAATGGTGCTAGTCACAAAAATATGGGAATTAGAAATTCCTCATGAGAGATGATTGAGACACAACAGCATATCCAAATAGAAATGTAATTAGATTATTGAGGATAATAAAAAATTGAAGCCTTAGTGAGAAGTTTCAGGATGAGATACAGACACATAATAGACTTGCTACTTGAAACTAGAATGTAAAATCAGTTTACCAAGATAGTATACTAGGCTCGGCTGGGTGCAGTGGCTCATATCTATAATCCCAGCACTTTGGGAGGCTGAGGCAGGCAGATCACTTGAGGTCAGGAGTTCGAGACCAGCCTGGCCAACATGGTAAAACCCCGTGTCTACCAAAAATACAAAAATTAGCCGGGTGTGGTGGCAGGTGCCTGTAAGCCCAGTTACTTGGGAGGCTGAAGCAGGAGAACTGCTTGAACCTGGGAGGTGGAGGTTGTAATGAGCCGAGATCATGACACCATACTTCTTGCCATATAATTAGATAATTATTTCTGGATTTTGTTGTTGTTGTTGTTGTTGTTGTTTGTTCTGAGACAGAGTTTCGCTCTGTCACCCAGGCTGGAGTGCAGCAGTGCAAAATCTTGGCTTACCATAACCTCCGCCTCCCAGGTTCAAGCAATTCTCCTGCCTCAGCCTCCCCAGTATCTGGGATTACAGGTGCCTGCTACTGTGCCTGGCTAATTTTTGTATTTTTAGTAGAGACGGGGCTTCTCCATGTTGACCAGGCTGGTCTTGAACTCCTCACCTCAGGTGATCTGCCTCCCAAAGTGCTGGGATTACAGGTATGAGCCACCACGCCCAGCTTTCTGGTCTTTTTATTTTGTATTCTTGTACATAATCTAAATGAAATTGCTACTAACACACATATCCTTCATTAATGTAATTTGCTAATTAGTTCAAATTAACTATATTTTTATTTGTTATAATAAAGGCCAAGCATGGTTAAAGTCAAAATAATGGTTTAACTACCCAAATAGTGGTAAGTACTTTTGAGTGTTCCCTTTAAAAAAAAAGCCAAATCCAAGTTGCAATTTCTTTAAAGAATAATTACATATATAAAACATATATAAATAATATATATAAATAACATATATATACATAAAGGAATCCGAATGCAGAACAAGAAGAAAATATTCTACTGATCTGTCTTTACAATTTTTTTAAGAAAAGAAGGAAATTGAATGTTAAATGATTCTGAAAACTAAGTCAACAATGCATTAAGTTTTTAAATTTTTTCCTCCATGAATCCATTCCTTAGTCACATGATAATGTGTCTTGCATTTGCCTAAAAAGATTAAGTTCAATGTCATAGAAATACAGATAATTTTAAAATATGACCCTTTTTTGAGAGATAAGAAAGTTCTTTCCCGGAAAACTTATTAGCCCAGCAGGTGACAAGGTGGCCATAATAATTATGGTATTTTGCAAAGCCTTCATTGATCTGAATGCTGAATTTGAATTTTTCACTAAGAACTTTTGGCAACAACTACATAACCATTGCCAAGATGAGTTTGCTCTGTAGGCCATCCAACCTAGTGAGTTAAGCAAAATATCCCCCAACAGGTTATGAAATACCTATGTCTTTCTTTTAAATACCTGTCTTAATGCATTCATGTATATTCTTGGCTCCTGAAATAAAACCAGATTTTTAAAAAATTATTCTTTTATAACATGCCATTAAAAAGACCTTCTCTATAGCCGTTTCTCAAAGTGTGGTCCTTAATATGGCATTAATACTACCTGGATTTTTTAAAAAACACAAATTTCCAGATTCCATCCCACATCAAACGAATACAAATCTCTTGTAGTAGGGCCTGAGAAATCACATTTTTAAAAAGCATCCCTTTGGATGCTGATAATGAAGGAGGCTATGCATGCGTGGGGATGGGATCATCTACTCAGTATTGCTGTGAACCTAAAGCTTTTGTACAAAATAATGTTTATTTTTAAATACAATTTTAATTGGAAATAAATGTATTTTGCACCAAAAAAAGCATCTCCTCCAAGTGATTCTTGTGTAAACCAAACAAAGCTTGAGAACCACTTGCTCCATAAAGACTGATTTTAAATGCAGAGTATTTTTCACCTGTATACAATTTTAAGTTCTGGAATCTAACACATACTGAAAATTTTCAAGTATAAGAAGTATTAGGCCAGGCGCAGTGGCTCATGCCTGTAATCCCAGCACTTTGGGAGGCCGAGGCGGGAGGATCACCAGGTCAGGAGATCGAGACCATCCTGGCTAACACGATGAAACCCCGTCTCTGCTAAAAATACAAAAAATCAGCCTGGCTTGGTGGCAGGCGCCTGTAGTCCCAGCTACTCGGGAGGCTGAGGCAGGAGAATGGCGTGAACCCAGGAGGTTGAGCTTGCAGTGAGCGGAGATCGCGCCACTGCACTCCAGCCTGGGCAACAGAATGAGACTCCGTCTCAGAAAAAAAAAAAAAAAAAAAAAGATGTATTAAAGAAGTTTAGGAATAAAAACTAGAAAAACATACTTTTTGGGATATCTTTCTATTCCATGACAAGTATGCTCTTCTCTGAGAGTTATTCTCTCAGATATCAATGGAAAATATCTGGAAGTCATGTTTGTGTAGTATGCCTAAGCCCTTGGCCATAGTGGATTGGGTCAGGGATAATAAACACCTAACACACAGGGACTAATCAATCCCAGTCAACCTCTTTCTCTCATTTGAACTAGGACACCAAAAGAACATGATAGTTGGGAGGTTTAAGGTTTAGAATAAGATTCACAAACTGTTAACACTAACCTCCCCAGAGCTGCCTTTTCTCTTGACTTATGCCTGAGACAAGAGAAAATATTTCAACAGTGAAACAAGAACAAGATAAAAAGGGACACTTATACAACAAAAAAAGATTTTCAAAATAAAAAATAAGATAAATTAAAATGTCAATAGAAGGATTGAAAAACATAAGTGAAGACATTTCCCAGAAAGTTGAACAATGATGAAGATGAAGATATAGAAAATAGGGGCAAAAATAAGGGGACACAGAAGGTCCAATATACCAATAAAAGGAGTTTCAGAAAGAAAAAGGGAAGAAATCATCAAAGGAAATAAAAAGAAATTAGAGAAGAAATCATCAACAACCAAAAAAAAAAAAATCTAAGAAAACTTCCTATATCTGAAGAACAGATTTTACAGATTGAAAGGACACTCTGAATGCTTAGTATAATTAGTAAAAAGAGGCCTACGCTAAGACACTTCTCATGACCTTTTAGAATACTAGGGACAGCAAGAAGGTCAGAAATCAGATATATTGGATATAGAACAATCTGGTGCATAATAGTTGATCAGTAAATTGAATCAGATTGGCTGTAGACTTCTAAGCAGCAATAATACAAGCTACAAAGCAATAAAGCTATGCTTTTAAAATTCTGCAGGAAAATTATTTCCAACCTAAACTTCTATATTCTACAAAATTATAAATAAAGTGGAAGGATAGCATAAGAACATTGTCAGACATGTATGGTTTCAAAACATGTTACCTCCTATGCACCCTTTCTTAAATACTTATTTGCAAATGTTTTCCAACATAATGAGGGAATAAGCCAAAAAAAAAAAAAAGAAGACACAAATTATAGGAAACAGGAGTTCTGACATGTACTCTTGTCAGAAACATATTCTAATAGAAATTCTTGGAATCCTAGAATGATGGTAAGGAGAACCAGAGAAACACCTGGACACCAAAAGTGGAAGTCAGTGAGTTCTATTAGGGACAAGTCAGGAGGCTCCATGAGAGAGACTTCTTCATGAAGATGAAATTAATAGAATATTTGATGTGCCTGAACATCTTGAGATGGTATTTAGGTACTGGGGCTTGAATAAGTGCATTAAAAAAACTAAGAAGATACATACACACACACATCATGATTAATTTCATTTTGCATGGAAGGAAATGTAATCATAGCTTACTACCTGGGTTAGCTCTGAATAGCAATCACTTAGTTATCACAATATAAACATTGGATGTTGACCTAATCAAAGTATGAGTAAAGACTTTGGGGAGTATAAGAAATATGGCAAGTGTGCATGTGTGTGGTAGGAGTAGGGGAAAGAAAGACAGCTAAATCCTCTTATACAGTGGAATAGATAATGTCTGAAACTGAAAAATTAAGTAGTAACAATATAACCATGTTAATTGGAAATAGGAAGACAAAAGCCAAATTAATTAGGTTAACAAGGGGAAAGGATTGGCTGTTAAGAGAAAGAAAATGGAGGGAGGAGCCAAGATGGCCGAATAGGAACAGCTCCGGTCTACAGCTCCCAGCGTGAGCGACGCAGAAGATGGGTGATTTCTGCATTTCCATCTGAGGTACCGGGTTCATCTCACTAGGGAGTGCCAGACAGTGGGCGCAGGCCAGTGTGTGTGCGCACCGTGCGCGAGCCGAAGCAGGGCAAGGCATTGCCTCACCTGGGAAGCCAAGGGGTCAGGGAGTTCCCTTTCCGAGTCAAAGAAAGGGGTGACGAACGCACCTGGAAAATCGGGTCACTCCCACCCGAATATTGCGCTTTTCAGACCGGCTTAAGAAACGGCGCACCACGAGACTATATCCCACACCTGGCTCAGAGGGTCCTACGCCCACGGAATCTCGCTGATTGCTAGCACAGCAGTCTGAGATCAAACTGCAAGGCGGCAACGAGGCTGGGGGAGGGGCGCCCGCCATTGCCCAGGCTTGCTTAGGTAAACAAAGCAGCCGGGAAGCTCGAACTGGGTGGAGCCCACCACAGCTCAAGGAGGCCTGCCTGCCTCTGTAGGCTCCACCTCTGGGGGCAGGGCACAGACAAACAAAAAGACAGCACTAACCTCTGCAGACTTAAGTGTCCCTGTCTGACAGCTTTGAAGAGAGCAGTGGTTCTCCCAGCACGCAGCTGGAGATCTGAGAACGGGCAGACTGCCTCCTCAAGTGGGTCCCTGACCCCTGACCCCTGAGCAGCCTAACTGGGAGGCACCCCCCAGCAGGGGCACACTGACACCTCACACGGCAGGGTATTCCAACAGACCTGCAGCTGAGGGTCCTGTCTGTTAGAAGGAAAACTAACAACCAGAAAGGACATCTACACCGAAAACCCATCTGTACATCACCATCATCAAAGACCAAAAGTAGATAAAACCACAAAGATGGGGAAAAAACAGAATAGAAAAACTGGAAACTCTAAAACGCAGAGCGCCTCTCCTCCTCCAAAGGAACGCAGTTCCTCACCAGCAACAGAACAAAGCTGGATGGAGAATGATTTTGACGAGCTGAGAGAAGAAGGCTTCAGACGATCAAATTACTCTGAGCTACGGGAGGACATTCAAACCAAAGGCAAAGAAGTTGAAAACTTTGAAAAAAATTTAGAAGAATGTATAACTAGAATAACCAATACAGAGAAGTGCTTAAAGGAGCTGATGGAGCTGAAAACCAAGGCTCGAGAACTACGTGAAGAATGCAGAAGCCTCAGGAGCCGATGCGATCAACTGGAAGAAAGGGTATCAGCAATGGAAGATGAAATGAATGAAATGAAGCGAGAAGGGAAGTTTAGAGAAAAAAGAATAAAAAGAAATGAGCAAAGCCTCCAAGAAATATGGGACTATGTGAAAAGACCAAATCTACGTCTGATTGGTGTACCTGAAAGTGACGGGGAGAATGGAACCAAGTTGGAAAACACTCTGCAGGATATTATCCAGGAGAACTTCCCCAATCTAGCAAGGCAGGCCAATGTTCAGATTCAGGAAATACAGAGAACGCCACAAAGATACTCCTCGAGAAGAGCAACTCCAAGACACATAATTGTCAGATTCACCAAAGTTGAAATGAAGGAAAAAATGTTAAGGGCAGCCAGAGAGAAAGGTCGGGTTCCCCTCAAAGGAAAGCCCATCAGACTAACAGCGGATCTCTCGGCAGAAACCCTACAAGCCAGAAGAGAGTGGGGGCCAATATTCAACATTCTTAAAGAAAAGAATTTTCAACCCAGAATTTCATATCCAGCCAAACTAAGCTTCATAAGTGAAGGAGAAATAAAATACTTTATAGACAAGCAAATGCTGAGAGATTTTGTCACCACCAGGCCTGCCCTAAAAGAGCTCCTGAAGGAAGCGCTAAACATGGAAAGGAACAACTGGTACCAGCCGCTGCAAAATCATGCCAAAATGTAAAGACCATCGAGACTAGGAAGAAACTGCATCAACTAATGAGCAAAATCACCAGCTAACATCATAATGACAGGATCAAATTCACACATAACAATATTAACTTTAAATATAAATGGACTAAATTCTGCAATTAAAAGACACAGACTGGCAAGTTGGATAAAGAGTCAAGACCCATCAGTGTGCTGTATTCAGGAAACCCATCTCACGTGCAGAGACACACATAGGCTCAAAATAAAAGGATGGAGGAAGATCTACCAAGCCAATGGAAAACAAAAAAAGGCAGGGGTTGCAATCCTAGTCTCTGATAAAACAGACTTTAAACCAACAAAGATCAAAAGAGACAAAGAAGGCCATTACATAATGGTTAAGGGATCAATTCAACAAGAAGAGCTAACTATCCTAAATATTTATGCACCCAATACAGGAGCACCCAGATTCATAAAGCAAGTCCTGAGTGACCTACAAAGAGACTTAGACTCCCACACATTAATAATGGGAGACTTTAACACCCCACTGTCAACATTAGACAGATCAACGAGACAGAAAGTCAACAAGGATACCCAGGAATTGAACTCAGCTCTGCACCAAGCAGACCTAATAGACATCTACAGAACTCTCCACCCCAAATCAACAGAATATACATTTTTTTCAGCACCACACCACACCTATTCCAAAATTGACCACATAGTTGGAAGTAAAGCTCTCCTCAGCAAATGTAAAAGAACAGAAATTATAACAAACTATCTCTCAGACCACAGTGCAATCAAACTAGAACTCAGGATTAAGAATCTCACTCAAAGCCGCTCAACTACATGGAAACTGAACAACCTGCTCCTGAATGACTACTGGGTACATAACGAAATGAAGGCAGAAATAAAGATGTTCTTTGAAACCAACGAGAACAAAGACACCACATACCAGAATCTCTGGGACGCATTCAAAGCAGTGTGTAGAGGGAAATTTATAGCACTAAATGCCTACAAGGGAAAGCAGGAAAGATCCAAAATTGACACCCTAACATCACAATTAAAAGAACTAGAAAAGCAAGAGCAAACACATTCAAAAGCTAGCAGAAGGCAAGAAATAACTAAAATCAGAGCAGAACTGAAGGAAATAGAGACACAAAAAACCCTTCAAAAAATCAATGAATCCAGGAGCTGGTTTTTTGAAAGGATCAACAAAATTGATAGACCACTAGCAAGACTAATAAAGAAAAAAAGAGAGAAGAATCAAATAGACACAATAAAAAATGATAAAGGGGATATCACCACCGATCCCACAGAAATACAAACTACCATCAGAGAATACTACAAACACCTCTACGCAAATAAACTACAAAATCTAGAAGAAATGGATACATTCCTCAACACATACACTCTCCCAAGACTAAACCAGGAAGAAGTTGAATCTCTGAATAGACCAATAACAGGCTCTGAAATTGTGGCAATAATCAATAGTTTACCAACCAAAAAGAGTCCAGGACCAGATGGATTCACAGCCGAATTCTACCAGAGGTACAAGGAGGAACTGGTACCATTCCTTCTGAAACTATTCCAATCAATAGAAAAAGAGGGAATCCTCCCTAACTCATTTTATGAGGCCAGCATCATTCTGATACCAAAGCCGGGCAGAGACACAACCAAAAAAGAGAATTTTAGACCAATATCCTTAATGAACATTGATGCAAAAATCCTCAATAAAATACTGGCAAACCGAATCCAGCAGCACATCAAAAAGCTTATCCACCATGATCAAGTGGGCTTCATCCCTGGGATGCAAGGCTGGTTCAACATACGCAAATCAATAAATGTAATCCAGCATATAAACAGAGCCAAAGACAAAAACCACATGATTATCTCAATAGATGCAGCAAAAGCCTTTGACAAAATTCAACAACCCTTCATGCTAAAAACTCTCAATAAATTAGGTATTGATGGGACGTATTTCAAAATAATAAGAGCTATCTATGACAAACCCACAGCCAATATCATACTGAATGGGCAAAAACTGGAAGCATTCCCTTTGAAAACTGGCACAAGACAGGGATGCCCTCTCTCACCGCTCCTATTCAACATAGTGTTGGAAGTTCTGGCCAGGGCAATCAGGCAGGAGAAGGAAATAAAGGGTATTCAATTAGGAAAAGAGGAAGTCAAATTGTCCCTGTTTGCAGACGACATGATTGTTTATCTAGAAAACCCCATCGTCTCAGCCCAAAATCTCCTTAAGCTGATAAGCAACTTCAGCAAAGTCTCAGGATACAAAATCAATGTACAAAAATCACAAGCATTCTTATACACCAACAACAGACAAACAGAGAGCCAAATCATGAGTGAACTCCCATTCACAATTGCTTCAAAGAGAATAAAATATCTAGGAATCCAACTTACAAGGGATGTGAAGGACCTCTTCAAGGAGAACTACAAACCACTGCTCAAGGAAATAAAAGAGGACACAAACAAATGGAAGAACATTCCATGCTCATGGGTAGGAAGAATCAATATCGTGAAAATGGCCATACTGCCCAAGGTAATTTACAGATTCAATGCCATCCCCATCAAGCTACCAATGACTTTCTTCACAGAATTGGAAAAAACTACTTTAAAGTTCATATGGAACCCAAAAAGAGCCCGCATCGCCAAGTCAATCCTAAGCCAAAAGAACAAAGCTGGAGGCATCACACTACCTGACTACAAACTATACTACAAGGCTACAGTAACCAAAACAGCATGGTACTGGTACCAAAACAGAGATATAGATCAATGGAACAGAACAGAGCCCTCAGAAATAATGCCACATATCTACAACTATCTGATCTTTGACAAACCTGAGAAAAACAAGCAATGGGGAAAGGATTCCCTATTTAATAAATGGTGCTGGGAAAACTGGCTAGCCATATGTAGAAAGCTGAAACTGGATCCCTTCCTTACACCTTATACAAAAATCAATTCAAGATGGATTAAAGATTTAAACGTTAGACATAAAACCATAAAAACCCTAGAAGAAAACCTAGGCATTACCATTCAGGACATAGGCGTGGGCAAGGACTTCATGTCCAAAACACCAAAAGCAATGGCAACAAAAGCCAAAATTGACAAATGGGATCTAATTAAACTAAAGAGCTTCTGCACAGCAAAAGAAACTACCATCAGAGTGAACAGGCAACCTACAACATTGGAGAAAATTTTCGCAACCTACTCATCTGACAAAGGGCTAATATCCAGAATCTACAATGAACTCAAACAAATTTACAAGAAAAAAACAAACAACCCCATCAAAAAGTGGGCGAAGAACATGAACAGACACTTCTCAAAAGAAGACATTTATGCAGCCAAAAAACACATGAAGAAATGCTCATCATCACTGGCCATCAGAGAAATGCAAATCAAAACCACTATGAGATATCATCTCACACCAGTTAGAATGGCAATCATTAAAAAGTCAGGAAACAACAGGTGCTGGAGAGGACGTGGAGAAATAGGAACACTTTTACACTGTTGGTGGGACTGTAAACTAGTTCAACCATTGTGGAAGTCAGTGTGGCGATTCCTCAGGGATCTAGAACTAGAAATACCATTTGACCCAGCCATCCCATTACTGGGTATATACCCAAAGGACTATAAATCATGCTGCTATAAAGACACATGCACACGTATGTTTATTGCGGCACTATTCACAATAGCAAAGACTTGGAACCAACCCAAATGTCCAACAATGATAGACTGGATTAAGAAAATGTGGCACATATACACCATGGAATACTATGCAGCCATAAAAAATGATGAGTTCATGTCCTTTGTAGGGACATGGATGAAATTGGAAACCATCATTCTCAGTAAACTATCGCAAGAACAAAAAACCAAACACTGCATATTCTCACTCATAGGTGGGAATTGAACAATGAGATCACTTGGACACAGGAAGGGGAATATCACACTCTGGGGACTGTGGTGGGGTCGGGGGAGGGGGGAGGGATAGCATTGGGAGATATACCTAATGCTAGATGACACGTTAGTGGGTGCAGCGCACCAGCATGGCACATGTATACATATGTAACTAACCTGCACAATGTGCACATGTACCCTAAAACTTAGAGTATAATAAAAAAAAAAAATTAAAAAAAAAAAAAAAGAAAACCATCCCAAATGACCACATATTCCCAAGCTTGAGAGGGGCTTTTATCATATACATTATGGTCACCCATATTAGTGAACTGCTTATGTAAAAGTTTTATGAGCTTGTGGTAAGTGGTATTTTCCCTATCTTTCAACCAGTTAAATTATATCTCTGTAACTATTACTTATTTAGAGAAAACATACTAAAGCCTTAGGAGACATTCTATATAGATCTGGAAGCGTATCTGCCATGCTGAGTATTCTTCAAGAATAATATTAAAATGACTTGTGGCAACAAACTTCATATGCAAGCTAAAAAATGTTAATCTTTTCAGAGTAATCACTCTTTCAAATGCATTTTTGTAAAAGTGAATAAATTCAAGAAGAAAAACAAAAAAAAAAAAAAAAAGAGAAAGAAAATGGTAAGAGAGGGCCAGGAGGATGCTGTTTTTTTAAAATAACAAATCTTGTAGAACTATTTTACTTTTTAAGCTTTGTTCACATATAACTTTATTTTTTTTAAAAAAGAAAAAAGTTTAAAAAATAAACATGGAAATCTACTTCCTCAAGTCATGGAAATGCATAAACTGGGAAGTCTCATAGTTGGCATGTCAGTTTGAGCTGTCTTGGAAGCAAATGTCAAAATATAGTTAGAAGTGCAAGAGATTTACCGAGGCTAATGCCTTGAAAGAACAGGGAAAAAGGAGTAGAAGTAGGTATAGAAGGTCACCAGGCCGCAGTGCAGGTCTGACCCCTGTGAAGTGAGAAGAGGAAGGAAGGAGGTGAAAAGAGCTATGGTGCAACTCTGAGAAGGTTTCAGCCAGCCTGATAGCAAGCTCCAGGGCAAAGATTGCCTGTTACAAGAATTTCTCCTTGTATATAAATGGCCAAACCCCAGTTCCCCCTATTATGTTCAGTCTTTTACTCAGTCTCTGCAAGGAGAGAGCATTTCTTGCCTTGAACATTTCAGAATATCATTCAACATCTCCCTGGCTTATAGTAGCCTCTTTTCCTGGAAACTTAGAAGAAGGAGATTAGTGGGATTAACCGCAGTACCAATCTCTACAGTTGTTCATAGGGTTGCAATGGTACTCATCATCTTCCTCTTCAACTAACCATGCTAATTTTATTCACACTAAGCTATCACTTCTTTCTGTCTCAAGGGCTTATCTGGTGGTGTCAAACCCTGATTTCTGCGAAGTCTGAGCTCCTGACCCCTTAATCAAGTCAGAGTTGCTGCACTTTTTCATGCCTCATCACAACTGGTGAAGAGAGTACCAGGAGGCACTCAAAGAGAATCCTTTGCATTCCATTGATATTACTTTCTGCCCTTATTGTATAACAGCAGCCTTATCTCCACTTGATAACCAAGGTCAATCATGACTGACAAGATGGTGACTCTTCTTCTCTCAGCTGATCTCTGAACATAGAAGTACAAAGTACGCAGATGGGCTTTAGCTTGTAGATCAATGGGACCCTGGCACCACTGCTCTTTTGGGGGGGACTAGGACCTCAAATGCTGCAGAGCCCAGAACTGTGGGCACAGGAAGCACAAAGTGCCTCATTGGGTCAATGAAAATGATGGTAAATGGGGATCTCATGCTTCCACCTCTTGATCCCAAGCTATACATAGAAACTTGATTCAATGTACACGTATATACTGCATATGATAGGATGTCATCCCACGCTTGCAAAGTATGTTTCCAAGCTGACACTGTAATTCTGCCTTGAACGAGTCATTCCAATGCTCTGTCAGACCAGCTGCTTCTGGAAGGTGTGATACAACCAGTAGCTTCTATGATTATTGGTCTTCTTGTACAACTCTTTCACTCTGAAGTGGATATCCTGGCCAGATGCTACACTGTGAGGGATTTCATGCCTATGAGTCACCTGTTCCATAAGCTCCCTATTAGTGGTGCTGACTGAGGCTCTGCAGGTGAGAAAGGCAAATCCATACCTGAAGTAAGTTTCTTTTCCTGTGCAAATGGATCTCTAGCCCTTTCAGGATGGAAAAGACCCAGTATAGAAAACTTAAAACCAAGTGGCCAGTTGGTCTCTCAAGGAATAATGCCATAAGTGACCTCAACATTGGTCTCATTGCTGGCAGGTCGGACATTCATATGTGGCAGTTAGAAAGGCCCTGGTAAGTGGGACTCCATGCTATTGAGTTCATGCATAGATTCCATCTCTGACACCACAATCACTCTGTTCATGTGCCCATTATACTAGTTTTGGGGTACCTGATGATCAAGGCTAGGTAGTGCCTTCTTGGTTGTTCAGTGCTTCTTCCAGGTTGGATGTATTCCAATAGGTCTGCATATACCATCGTTGAAACAGAATGACTATGATATGACCCTTTATATTTCTAGATCAACTTAGTTCCCATGTCCAACAGTCCTCAAAATGCCTTGGCATTCTTCTTGCTCCAGTGGGTAGTCACCTGAGTAAATGGCTGTAGGTCCCTTTGGGGAGGTCTAGAGAAATCTTTGTATTTTTCCTAGGGACCTATTCACCTTTTCAGTCAATAGGTTTAGAGTCTGAAAATTGGCTTAGATCCAGTTATCTTAGGAATTTAGCAAGGAATCACAACTTTTTTGTTGGGGAAACTGCCCTCAGCCTTCTATTCACCCATTTTTGCTTTCTTTTGATTCTATGAGGCAGCACTCTTGTTGGTTTCCCATTTATCTTGCTCCTAGGGATGCCACGTTCACCTAGTCTCCACAGCTTCCTTGTAGATTAGATCCCCTTGGCTGTCTCTACAAATTTGTCAATCAATATCATAATTGTTTTGCTCTGGCTTCCGGCGATTAAGGGTCAACAACTGGCCTTTTTGTTTCAGAACCTCACTATCCCCATTGCTATTGATGAGCCCAGCTCTGTGACTGCATCTCCTATGGTCAGCCCTGGCCTACAGAGAAAAGCCAACCTCGATCTTCTTAGCAATGTTGGTGCTTGTTTTATCAGCACGTTCCTGACAGTTTGGTAAATGATGTGACTTCTAGGCCCTGCTGTGGAAAATAATCTTCTGGTGGGTCTTCTGGCCTCACATCATATATATATTTCAACATGCCCATCTCCTTGACCATTTAAATCCCTTCTGCCACCATCTGCCATGGCCACTCAGGCATTTCAACTTCACTTAGTATGAACCATCAATTTCTGCAGGTTTCTAAGAACCACCCCTTCTTCCACTGAGAAGTGTCCGTGAGTCAATGAACTCTTGCTTTATTGCATCTTACTTTCTAGCTTCTTTGATCAAGCACTCTGGCTCCTGCTAGTATATGTTAGTTAATTCTTGCAGCTGCTTTGGGGGTATAATCTCTTTCCTCCCCTTTCAGATGTAGTATGTCCCCAGCTGGACATGCTAGGATTGAATCTTCATGATTTACTTAGCAGCCAGGAGAAGAAGAGGGAGTAGCTCTTCAGGGGGACACCTGTTGCCTTGTTTGATAAAGGACTCTGCCCTATCTTCCCACATGGGGGACATGCTGGCTCCCAAAAGCTGACATCAGCTGCTTTAGCAGGCCAGGCCACTTTCCAGTTCTCTTTATGAGTTTTTTTCCCTGATAATTTTCTCTAAAACAGGGATATTGTGAAAAGTTCTGCCCATGAACTTGTTTAATTACAACCTGTACATTTTATAAAAGGAATTATTTAAAACACCATGAAGAAAGAAAGAAATATTTGGGAGTTATATAATTGTAATTGCAAAAAACATAGTAAAGGTATGTCCTCTGTTGATAAAAGATTTTTCTCATTACCTGAGTGCTCTGCTACCTGCTGTTATCATATCCACAGTCAACAAATTAAGATACTATTCTTGAATTAGCATCTTTATCTTTTTTCCTAAGCAATTTGTATCATGATTCCAAGAAAAACAAAGAGAGTGTGGCAATGCCAAGTATTCCCTCGTCTCCTCATTCTGCTTTTTCAGCTCTCCAGCAAATATGCATGTAAATAAAAGACCTACAAATAAGATGTTTTGCCATAGAAATAATGAATCCAAAACTACCCTACTGTGTAGACACAAGGGATTTTGACAATCTGTTTTTCAAATGTGTGCAGCAGTGCACTAAGACAAGGATAAAATATTAGAAAAGCTTCACATCATACTCATTAGTTCTACATCCGTGGTCCCTAAATTCCACTTTGCCTTTTAGTGCAATAGCCCTACTAATGACATCCAGAATAACTGTAGGCCATTATCCCTGTTGGCCATAGTCCTTCCACTGGTGTACTCCCTAGTCTTCCGTGGGTGTGCTCTGAATTTTTATTTCTGAGCTGACCATAATAGCTATTTTTATTGAACACCTGGCATACGTTACATCACTTAGCTCCCACACCACATAGATATTATTATACCCATTAATACTGAAGAGGAAATGGAAGCTCAGAAAAACAAAGTAGCGCTTGCTCAAAGTCTCTCAACCAGGAAGTAACAGTCTAATTGACTAAAAAAGTATGTGCTCTTAATTTCTGCACAATATTGTTGCATATTACAAGCACTGCCAAAATAACCTGATTTGGTCATTTATTCCATGTGTTTCTTCTTGCTGAGAATTACCTTCCCCAGGCCAACTACAAATCAGTCATGGTCTTTTCCTTTTCCTCTACTACCCCCATTTTTTTTTTCTTTGAGACAGTCTTTCTCTGTTGCACAGGCTGAAGTGCAGTGGCACAAACATGGCGCACTGCAACCTCAACCTCCGGGGCTCAACTGATCCTTCCACCTCAGTCTCCCAAGTAGCTGAGACTGCAAGCATGCATCACCACACTCAGCTAATTTTTTTATTTTTTATTTTTTGTAGAGACAGGGTCTCACTGTCTTTCCCAGGCTGGTCTCGGACTCCTGGGCTCAAGCAATCCTCCCACCTTGGCCTCCCAAAGTGCTGGGATTACAGGTGTAAGCCACCATGCCCAGCCCTAAACTATCTCTTAACCACATATAGATAAAGAATGAGGAGATGGGGGGGAAATTGTAATTATATTCAAAGTTTCAGCTGATAAATGCATCTGTTGTATAAACAGTATATAACAAATTGTTGGACATATAATACATACAGAAATATATTCACACCAGGTGCGATGGCTCATGTCTGTCATCCCAACATTTTGGGAGGCCAAGGTGGGAGTATTGCTTGAGGCTAGGAGTTCAAGACTAGTCTGGGCAGTAAAATGAGATCTTAGATCTCATTTTTACAAGCTTTTTTTTTTTTAAAAAAATTAGCCAGACATGGTGGCACATGCCTGTAGTCTTAACTACTTGGGAGGTTGAGGCAGGAAGATTGCTTGAGCCCAGGAGTTTGAGGATGCCGTGAGCTATGATTGTGTCACTCTACTCTAGCCTGAGTGACAGATCGAGGGAAACAAAAGAGAAAGAAAAGAAGGAAGGAAGGAAGGAAGGAAGGAAGGAAGGAAGGAAGGAAGGAAGGGGAAGGAAGGAGGGGAAGGAAGGAGAGAAAGAAGAAAGAAAGGAAGGAAAAGAAATGTAATATATTTGCCATTAACAGCACAAAAGAGGTGGATAAGAGCAAAGCTTTATTGAGCTAAGAAAATGAATCCAGCTGGTAACTTGAATCCACGGAAACAAAGAGAACCAGAAATGACAAATAAACAGGTTAATATAACAAAAGCTATAAATATAAACTTGTTGTCTTTTCTTCTATTAGCTTCTTTAAAAGACAAAATTATATAAAATAATAACTATAACAATGTATTCTTGTGTTTTTAACATGTATAAATGTAATATGTATAATAATAATGCCACAAAAGGGGAGGAAATTAATAGAGCTATATAGAAAAACATTTCTATGTCACATTGGAATTGTTACTATAAATCTGAAGGTTATTTCAATAAGTTAGGATGAATATGGTAAACTCTAGAGCAATATCAAAATATCAGTAAGAAATTTAAATGCTTCATTAGAAAATATTCACTTAACGCAAAAAAAAAAGCAGTACAAGAGGAATGGAGGATCAAAAAAAAAAAAAGAAACATATAAAAACCAAAAAACAAAATGGCAAACATGAATCCAACCATATTAACTGTATTGTATCACATCATAAGCCCAACTATGTCATCAAATAATTATTTATATTTATTTATTAATGAGATTAGATATATGTACAATTATCTGTAATATATTTAATATGTATTAAATAAGCTATTTAATATTAAACGTGAACAGATTAAATATCCCAATCACAAAACAGAGATTGTCAGAATGGATAAAAAACAAGATCTAACTATATGCTGTCTACAAGAGACACAGTTTATATTCAAAGGTACAAATACATTGAAAGTCAAAGATGATAAAATGCATATATTATACACACCAACCATAAAAAAATGGAGTGGCTATACGTATATCAGAAAAAATAGACTTTTAAACGAAGAAAATTTTTAGAAATAAAGAAGGATATTTTATATGGATAAAGGGACCAATCCATCAGAAAGATATGACAATTATAAATTAATATGTACCTAACAACTGAGCATCAGAATACCCAAAGCAAAAACTACCAACAGAAATAAAGAAATTGACAATTAGCCAGAAACTTCAATACCCCACTTTCAATAATGAATAGAACAACTAGATGAATAAGGAATTGGAAGACTGGGACAACTGTAAACAAACTTACCCTAATAGACATCTATGGAACACTCTATCCAACAACAACAGCACATTCTTCTCAACTGCGCATGGAGCATTCTCCAGAATAGAACATATGCTAGGCAACAAAACAAACTTGAATACATTTAAAAGGAAAGAAATAATACAAAGTATGTTCTTCAACCACAATGAAATTAAATTAGAAATCAATAACAGAAAAAAGTTGTAAAACATGCAAATGTGTGGAAATCAAAATACACACTCCTAAATCATCAATGAATCAAACACAATCAAAAAAGAAAGTAGAAAATACTTTGATGTGAATAAAAATGAACATACAACATATTTAAAACATATGGGATGGAGTTAAAGCAGTGCTCAAAAGAAAATGTATAGCTGTAAATGCCTACAGTAAAAAAAGGTCATAAATCAATAATCTGATTTTCTATTTTAAAACACAAGAATAAAGTAGAACAAACTAAACCCAAACCAAGCAGAAAGAAGGAAATAATAATGATTACAGTGGAAACTAATTAAATAGAGAATTAAAAAACAATAGAGAAAAGCAATGAAACTGAAAGCTGGTTCTTTGAAAAGTTCAACAAACTGACAAATATTTAGCTAGATTGACCAAGAAATAAAACAACAACATAAATCACTAAAACTAGAAATAAAAAGCAGATATTACTAGAAACCTTACAGAAATAAAAAGATTATAAAGAACACTATGAACAATTGTATGCCAATACATTAGATAACTTAGATAAAGCAGAAAAATTCCTAAAAAACACAAACTCCTGAAACTGACTTAAGAAGAAATAGACATTAATTGACCTATAAGAAGTAAGGGTTTGAATTAGTAATCAAAAAACTACCTCCAAAGAAATGCCCATGCCAGATATCTTCAGTAGTAAATTCTTCGAAACATTTAAAGATGAATTAAGATGTATTCTTCACAAACTGTACCCAAAAAATAGAAGAGGAAATACCAAACCATACAAGAACACCACAAGAAAACTATAAACCAATATTCTTATGAATATGGACATAAAAATCTTCTACAAAATGCCAGCAAACTAAATTCAGCAATGTATAAACATAATGATATATCATGATCAAGTGGGATATACACCAGGTATGCATGGTTGTTTTATTAAACTGCAATTACTTTTGCACCAACTTAATAATATCTAAAAGTCAATTAATGTACTATGCCATAGCAACTGAATAAAAAACCAAAATCACATTATCTTAATAAATGCAGAAAAGGTATTTTAAAAAATTTTATACACTTTTATGATAAAGTACAAAAAAAACACTGACAATACTAGAAATAGAAGAGAACTTCCTCAACCTCCTGAAGGACATCTACAAAAAATTCACAGCTAACATCATTCTTAATAGTGGAAGACTTCCCGACTAAGAACAGGAACAAGACAAGATGTCTGTACTTAAAACATTTATTCTGTGTCGTACTAGAGGTTCTAGCCAGGGCAATAAAGCAAGAAAACAAAATAAAACCATCAAGTTTGGAAAGAAATAATTAAAATTCTTTCTACTGCAAATGGCATGATCTTGTATATAGAAATTCCTAAGGAGTCCACACACACAAAATACTAGTACTAATAGATTAGTTTATCCAGCTTGCTGGGGACAAGATCAATATATAAAAATAAATCCTATTTCTATATACTTGCAATAAACAATTGAAAAATGAAATTAAGAAAATTTCATTTATAATAGCATCAAAAAGAATAAAACATTTAGGAATACATTTTACTGAATAAGTGCAAAACTTAAAATCTGAAATCTATAAAACACTGTGAAAAAAATTAAAGAAGATTTAAATAAATGGAAAAAATCTCACATTTATGGATCAGAAGACTTAATAATGTTATTAAGATGGCAATACTCCTTAAATTCATCTACAGATTCAATAAAATCCCTGTCACTGCTTCTATGTAGCATTTTATCAGGAAGCCTAGCCAGTTCAGTAAAAACAGGCAAAGAAATAAAGATTGAGAGAAAAAAAAAATTACTACTGATATGGTTTGGCTGTGTCCCACTCAGATCTCATCTTGAATTGTAGCGCTCATAATTCCACATGTTGTGGGAGGGACCTGGTGGGAGGTAACTGAATTATGGGGGCAGGTCTTTCCCATGCTGTTCTGGTCATAATGAGTAAGCCTCATAAGATCTCATGGTTTTATAAAGGGGAGTTCCCCTGCACAAGCTCTCTTGCCTGTTGCCAGGTAAGACATGCCTTTGCTCCTCCACACCTTCTGCCATGATTGTGAGGCCTCTCCAGCCATGTGGAACTGTGAGTCCATTAAACCTCTTTTTCTTTATAAATTAATCAGTCTTGGGTATGTCTTTATTAGCAGCATGAGAAGAGACTAATAAGACTACTGTACTAGGTTATAAACTTCTTGAGGGCTTTGTTTTATTCCTTTTCATAACCTTGGAAATGCTTAGAATTAGACATTTTATAAAGCAACCCTCAAAAAATTATTAAACTCAATTGCAATTGAAACTGATTTCCAGTAGGTAGACTAAACTAGACAGACTCTTGTCTTAAACTATGAATCTGTAGCCAAGGATTACCAGATATTTGAACACTAAATGCCTCCAAAATAAAAGAGAAACTTAAGGAAACAGAGAATAGGAATACTGAAGAAATATATATGACATCAAAAGCAGAAGGGTTTTTATTTTTAAAAAATCCTGAAGATAAATGTCTCCAAAGAGAAAAGAGACTTATTTGATCCATGGAAAAAAGAATAGAATCCTATTTAAAAGGGAGAATCAAAGAACAAGACAGAGCTCTTGAAAGTTAAATATCTGATAGCTCAACTTAAAAATTCAATATCAGGGTTGGAAGAAAAATAGAAAAAAAGATGAACAAAAGGAAAGAGAATTTGAAAATCAATCAGCAGATCCAATTTGTCTCACACAGAGTTCCAGAAAGAAAGAACAGAGAAAATGAAAGGGAGATAATTACCAAAAGAAGATTATCAAAGACATTCCCTAGAATTGCAGGATTTATTATTATTATTATTATTGTTATTAAAAAGGATCACCAAATGTCAGAAAAAAAAGAAGGAAGGAAATGAAAAGGAAAGAAAAAAGGTGTTAACATTAAACTTCATGAGGGATTAACGAAAGAGCCTAAACTTCTCAAGAGAAAGAAAAAAAGTTCACCTACAAGGTGTCAAGTATCAGTGTTCTAGTTATGTATTGTTGCTTTGTAAACCCATTTAGTGGCTTAAAATAACAATTTATTTAGCTTATGAATTGGGTGGAGGATTCATTTCCAAGATGGTTCACCTACACAGCTGGCAAATTGGTGCTAGTTGTCAGGTGGTGGCTTAGCTGGAATTGAGGGCCAGAGACCTGGATTACTCTCCCTGTGGGTCTCTTCATGAGCTGCTTTGGGCTTCCTCACAGCATGGTTGTTGTGTTTCCAAAGCAAAGTATCCCAAGAGACAGGGAGTAGGAACTGGTATTTTCTAACATAACTGTCAGTTCTGCCACATTCTATTAGTCAAGAAATCAAAAAGACTAGATTTAAGGGGAGGAGACAGAAATTCTACCTCTCAATAGGAAGGCTGTCAAAGAATTTGGGGGCCATGTTTTAAGACTGCCAAAGGGTCCTATGTCCATACCTATGAACAGGGGCCTCCCATGCATTGTCACATGAGAGACAGTAATAAGGTTTGGATGTCTCTTCCTGCCAAATCTCATGTTGAAATGTGATTCCCAGTTTTGGAGGTGAGGCCTAGTGGGAGGTGATTGGATAATGGGGATGGATCCCTCCTTAATGGTTTAGCACCATCCTCTTGCTGATAAATGAATTTTTGCTCCTTTATTTCACATAAGATCTGGTTGTTTAAAAGTCTGGGACTTCCCTCCCCTTCTTGCTCCCTCTGTTACCATGTGATATGCCTGCTCCCTCTTCACCTTCCACCATGATCGTAAGCTTCCTGAGACCCTCACCAGAAGTAAGCAAATGTTGGTGCCATGCTTGTGCATCCTAGAACCATGAGCCAATTAAACCTCTTTTCCTTATTAATTACCCGGCCTTCAGGTATTTCTTTATAGCAATGCAAAAATGGCCTAATCCAGATCGTAAGATCCTGATTGATTTAGACTAATCAGAACCCTGGATCTGGTAGTGGGGTCAGTTTTCTCCCAGTTACACTGGGGAGGTAAAAAAAAACAAAAACAAAGGTAAAGGTAGGAGGAGGGAAAAGGGGACTGGTTGCTTTGTAACCAGCAAACACCAGCACACTAGTTGTTTCTGTTTTTTTTGTTTGTTTTTTAATTCAACTTTCCTACTTCACTGTATATATAATTCTAGAGTCTCCTGAAATCCATTGTCAATTTAGGAGCAGTGTAAATACACACACACACACACACACACACACACACGCACAAATATTTTCAGAAGGTTTTAACCACAGTTCAAGGACTCAGTTACAGTTACCTATATGTACTGGTTAAATAGCTAGCCCTAGTTGCTAGGTAGCATATTAACGAGTATGTATTTAATCTTGTGTTTGTGTATAAATTTAATATTCAGTTGGTTAAAATATTAAACTCTGCTAATATGTGGTCAGCCTTCCTAGTTTGTTAGTCTTTAAACTAGCGGCCTTTCCACACCTTTCTAAATGTTAGAGAAGACATTTGATAGCAGGAAAAGTATCTCACTGCCCACTCTTCCTCTACCTAGGCTTCTTATTGTAATTCCTTCCTTCCTCCCCCTTGTTCAGAGAAGAATGTGTCTTCTTCTCTGTGCTATCCAGGAAGTCAAGAAAATGAGAGGTTATTTTGAAGATAAAATCTGAAGAAATGGCAAAGAGGAAAATCAAGAAACTATTAAGTGAAGGATATTTATGATCCAATTTAAAATGAAAAACTGTCAGGAAGTATAAGCTACGGTATAAATAAGAACATATAAAATACATCCAAACAAAATGCAGGTATCATAAAAATATACAAATGACATTTTCACAGCACTATCTTAAGGCCTTAAGAAAGACCCAGCAATATCATATCAGGCCAAATAAAACATGAGGACTCACCTCTATACCTGGGATTTAATTGAGACTTCTTCCTAGGTATTAACTTTAAGTGACATATTAAATATTCCTCAACTCGAGTTTATTCAGATAATCAAACTTCTGGTAGGCATACATTTGGTTGTGATAAATGTTTATCTCCCTAAAACAAAATGTAGTTATGGCTTATAATGATATTAAAAATAAACCAAAAATAGTCAATTTTCTTGAAATATTTCAGGGAGGCTTTATTCTTTGCCTGAAGTATAAACCATAACACTAATTGAAGAATATTTTATCTCCTTTATATATATTTTCTTTCATTAAAAATGAATTGAATATTGTTTCAAAACTGCAGGATATAATTTTAATGGCATTTATGAACACTTAAATTTGTTTGCAGACTGAGAAAATTAGTTCATGAGTAAGCCTTTGAAAAACTCAAGTAGCAACTTCTTAGAATACATAATGTTATGAGAGATGACTGTTTTGTGTATTAGCATTTTTAGGGTTTTAATAATTTAAATCAATTCCTTCTTCCCAAAAGTTAATGTTTTATATAATATGAATTGCAGATAAGTTGAAATTTCATACATTATTTTCCCTTTTATTTATAGAATTACAGGCAGTGGAAAACAAAAATAAGATATGCAGATTTCAAGTACCAATGCAGCATATGTATTCTGAAGCGGCCTCGGGGTAGCAAGGCAATTTGACTTGTTAAAGCTAAAAAGTAGTTGAAAACACAGAACAACAAAAATATCCTGAAAATGCTACCAGGATGTGACTACCACACCCTTCCTGCATTAGGCTATTTTTCAGGAATGATAGTTCTATATTGTTGTTATTTTGCTTTGGGTTTATGGAGATGGGATTTATCAACTGTTCCTGTAGCAATAGTTTTCTTCTTGGTATTTGCTCTCCACCACTCCAAGTTCAATCATAGTGCCCATCGAAATCTCTACAGACATCACTAATTTGTGATGTTGGATATCACTAATTAAGGTTAGCGTACCAGAAATACTTGGAAAAAGACTGAGATAGACAGTTACCTGCAGAAGGTTTATTGGGAATACTCTGGGGAGAAACACATGGAAATAAGTGAGGAAAGCAGGAAGATTGGGCAGAGGGAGAAAGTGACTCACAATGAGGTAGCTCCTGAGGCTTCTGCTGATCCCACAGGAATCCTGGAGCCCAGATTAAGGCAAGGGGGTTGGCCTTTATATGCCCTCATTCAGCAGGTCATTGGCCATGAGACACTGCTGACAGGGGCTGTAGCCTTGGGTGAGGCAGTTCCATGAAACCCAGGGGATGCAGCTGTAGATACCCCCAGCAACTGGAAGATGGGTGCTGTGGCCCAAAAGAGGGGACTTGGGGGAACAACACAGTATCCAATATGTTTCACTCCTTGCATCACTCAGGTTCACTTGCTTTCTGGAGTAAGTTCCTTCTGGCAACAGCTCCTCCAGAATTGCTAATGAGGTATAAATGTGTTAACTAGATACTTGAACAGGTAAAAAGGAACTCTAAGATATTATGAAGTTAGCATCAAAACACTACCACCCCTACGGCTGAGGGAACAAAAGGAAGATATTAGAATGACTAAACCCTGGAAGCTGAAGAGGAGCAGCTCTGAGAAGCCAAAGCTCAGACTTGAAGAGGAGATACTGTTTGGGAGGAGGGCCTAAGTGGGGCTGGGACCCGCATCTCGGAAAAGGGGCACCTGCTGGCTAATGCTGGCATCTTTGAGGGGGATGTGATAAAACTCATTCTGTAAGTGTTGGGAAAATGGCAAACTGCATTTTAGCTGCTACTGTGGGACAGAACTGCTGCTGTTGGGATGAAGTTCCACAGAAGTGATGCTCACAGGAAGTCCACGGGAAGCAGGTAGTTGGGCTGCTTTGAGGACTTTGTCCTCCCTCCTCCAGCCTTGAGCTCTTCCTCTAGCACCCCCTATTGGCAGAGCCCAACACAGAGCTAACTGGCAAAGCGGACTGTTTTGCAGAGTCCCAGCTGAGCATCACAAAGCTGGGTATCATAGGAGGGGTTTGAAGTTAAGAGGCAATGACTTAACAAGTACAGGAATGTTTAGAATGGGTTAGAGGACTGATTCGAGAAATGTTTCATTGAGGACACAGGTTTTGGACTCAGACTCAGGTTAAAATATCTGCTCTTCCACTTACTGTTGGGTAAATTCAGTGATTATCTTAATTTTCTGTGTCTCAGTTTCCTCATCTGTAAAGTGGAGTTAATATCTGCCCCATGGGGTTGTTGTGGGAGGTAATGTCTATGAAACACCCAGCAGTCAGCTTGGCTCATAGTAGTTGCTCAGTAAATGAGTTGTGATTATTACCATGGGGAAGACTGAAGGCAGAGAGACCTGTGAAGACATTTTCAGTAGCACAGACTTAAGCTTTCTGCACTATGAACTATGCTGATGGTAGCAGGAATAAAAATAGTAGGATAGATAGATGTAAGAGACCTTTGAAAGAGAGAGTCAAAAGAACTCAATGACTGTATATATACATATGTATACATACACACACATATATATATATGTTGATTCCTATGGCGGATGAAGGAAAGGGAGAAATCATCAAATCAGCAATGATGCCTGATTCAAATGGACCTTTCTAGTGGCTTTGGGCCAGCCTAAAAAGATAACTCCAGTAATCAAAGTACATTAAGTGCTTAATAATTGTTTCCTGGATGTTTGTTGAATGCACGTTAAACCATTGTTAAGGTACTGTTTTGAGAGGTGACAGCGTGCTGGCAGTCCTCAGAGCCCTCGCTTGCTCTCGGCACCTCCCCTGCCTGGGCTCCCACTTTGGCGGCATTTGAGGAGCCCTTCAGCCCCCCCACTGCACTGTGGGAGCCCCTTTCTGGGCTGGCCAAGGCTGGAGCCCACTCCCTCAGCTTGCAGGGAGGTGTGGAGGGAGAGGCACGAGCGGGAACCCGGGCTGCGTGCGGCGCTTGCAGGCCAGCTGGAGTTCCGGGTGGGCGTGGGCTTGGTGGGCTCCACACTCGGAGCAGCCAGCCAGCCTTGCTGGCCCCGGGCAATGCGGGACTTAGCATCCGGGCCAGTGGCTGCGGAGGGTGTACTGAGTCCCCCAGCAGTGCCGGCCCACCAGCGCTGTGCTCGATTTCTTACCGGGCCTTAGCTGCCTTCCCGTGGGGCAGGGCTTGGGACCTGCAGCCCACCATGCCTGAGCCTCCCACCCACTCCATGGGCTCCTGTGCGGCCCCAGCCTCCCCGACGAGCACCAACCCCTGCTCCACGGTGCCCAGTCCCATCGACCACCCAAGGGCTGAGGAATGCGAGCGCACGGCGCAGGACTGGCAGGCAGTCCACCTGCAGCCCCGGTGCGGGATCCACTAGGTGAAGCCAGCTGGGCTCCTGAGTCTGGTGGGGACGTGGAGAGTCTTTATATCTAGCTCAGGGATTGTAAATACACCAATCAGCACCCTGTGTTTAGCTCAAGGTTTGTGAGTGCACCAATCAATACTCTGTATCTAGCTGCTCTGGTGGGGCCCTGGAGAACGTGTGTGTCAAAACTCTGTATCTAACTAATCTGATGGGGAGGTGGAGAACCTTTGTATCTAGCTCAGGGATTGTAAAAGCACCAGTCAGCAGCCTGACAAAACAGGCCACTCAGCTCTACCAATCAGCAGGATGTGGGTGGGGCCAGATAAGAGAATAAAAGCAGGCTGACCGAGCCAGCATTGGCAACCCGCTGGGGTCCCCTTCCACACTGTGGAAGCTGTGTTCTTTTGCCCTTTGCAATAAATCTTGCTACTGCTCACTCTTTGGGTCCACGTTGCTTTTATGAGCTGTAACACTCATCGCGAAGATCTGCAGCTTCACTCCTGAACCCAGCGAGACCACGAACCCACCAGGAGGAACGAACAACTCCAGACACCCTGCCTTAAGAGCTGTAACACTCACCGCAAAGGTCTGCAGCTTCACTTCTGAGCCAGCAAGACCACTGAACCCACCAGAAGGAAGAAACTCCGAACACATCTGAACATCAGAAGGGACAGACTCCAGACGCGCCACCTTAAGAGCTGTAACACTCACCGCGAGGGTCCACGGCTTCATTCTTGAAGTCTGTGAGACCAAGAACCCATCAATTCCGGACACAGTTGTAAATATACTAAATCATAAATTGTTAACTCACTAACTTACTTTTGCTAAATGTATGACAGATCGTGGTGAATCTGGTATACATGTACCCTGTTGGTGGTACAGTAAATTAATACAGCTCTTTTGATAAACACTATATAGGCTAGTTATCAAAAGTGATTTAAATGCTTACTGCTTTTGACTCAGTAATTTAAAAACTGAAATTCATAGGAAGAAGTTGAGAATATGGTACCTCTATGACTTTAGATGATCAACATAGAGGCAGCTACTACTGATCTCATGAAGTGTCCTTTGGCAACAAAATTGGCTTGATCCAAAATGCTAAGTTTGATGTACTCTTGTGCTTATTTTTTGCCGAGTCCTGCAAATGAACCAATAGGCATTTTGAAATCGAGAGTTACGTAGCCACTCTAACAGAAGGCGCCCTTCCTGTAGCTTGGCTATGTAATGACTGCCTTGTAATTTACAAGTCATATGGGTTCTGTCCGCTAAGTTGTACGCTCTTCCAGAAACATTGTGAGCAACCCACTTTAAAAAAATCCCTGAATGACCCGGGCTCCACCCCTCACAACTCTTTAGCTTTAGGCTTGCTCTGTCTCTTTCCTCCTCTTGCCCTGCTATGCTTCCTTCGCTTCTCTCTTACAACCTTAGCAAAGTGTTTCTGCTCACAAGACCACCAGCTTCAGCACAGCATGGACGCCTCTAATTCAAAACTCCGTCCTGATACATTGTGAACACTATTTTAGTGGTTGTTTGCAAGCCTCTGTTGACACTTATGAAAAAGTAGGTCAAAGGAGTAGAAATGCATGCAGCAATCACTCAGTATGGCCCAAATAATGCCACTAAAAAAATCTGTACAGTCATGATGTTTAAAAATATTTCTCAAATTATACTGATGGTATGGGGGTGAAGTCTGGCAAATTTACTTCTCCTTCTATCCTTGCCTCAGATTCACATCCTCCACGTCTTGTCACCTTCTCCCCAAAGCCTTCCCTGTCCTCTTTAGATTGTTAGAGAAGCACTGTCTCTATGTTCCCTCAGTACACCTAATATTGAACATACCTTTATTATAGCATTTCTTCTTCTGAAGTAATGATGCTTACATGGTTGTGTCCTCTTCTACACTGTATCTCAAGGTGGCATACATTAGGTACTTAATGAGTGTTTGCTGAATGTTTGTTGAATGAATTTATCTCCTTGTGTAATGCTAACCCTCATCAGCTTCCAATTATCCACGCTAATGGAAGGGAAGAGAGGTTTAGGATGATGTGAAATAATTGACAGTTCTAAAATCTGAGATCCCTGATTCAAAAGGCTTGTGTACTCAATAATGCAGTCACACACACACAAACAGCCATGCAGCTAGGAAGGTTTTAGAGGAAGAAGTCAACTGATTCAAATCCTCTCCAGGGTGGATTCGCAAGTCATGGGAAACAGTAAAACTGATGTGTTGGGTTTGCTCTGCCAGAATGCCTTTGCACCAGATACCCTGCATACCCTGTGGTCAAATGTCTTTTCCTGTCATAGCTACAAGCCAACAGCTCCATTGCATTAAAATTGCAGGTAGTTAGTTATATCCTATATGCTTTGACGTCAGTTTAATGCTAGGGCACGTAGAAATAAGGGTGAAGAGGGTAAGCTGGTCTTTGTCCTTGGGGAGGGCCTTGAGTACCATGCTCAATAATGTGAGTTTGAGGAGCCAGTGAAGGTATCCGAGTAAGAGAGCAATATTCATATAAGTGGTTATTGAAGATCCTTGGGTGGCAATGTGAAATGTGGATCTGAGGCAGGAGGAAGATCAGTTGGGAAGGGGTTCAGAGAACAAGTAAAGAAGAAAATCCTGAAATGGAAGTGAGACAGAGCAGGGACCCCTTTTAGGATCCTGCCTTCCCACCCCCAACCCAAGCATGGGAATAAAGGAAAATCTTGAGTTTCTTCAAGGGAAATTCCAGGCACCTAGCTAGCCTTGAGAAATAAATGAGTAATCTAATAGCTTAAAACAATAGCCAAGAAAGTTAGAGTCACAGGATGTTTGGTTCTCTAGAGAAACTAAAGATAACATCTTAACATACCTCGTCCCTGAGTTGTTTTTCAGAAACCTGGACCCGCCCCTACCTTCCCCCGCACCCCACCAAATGGAAAATACTGTCTGCTGGCATGTAGACCTCAAACGGGAGAACTGAGGACTGAACTCTATCATTCTTTGTTCTAAATTTCTTCCTGAGGGCCCTGGAGAAAGTCATGCCCACATGCTAGATCTTAACATTCTTTTCTTCCAACCCCAAATGTTTAGACAAAGCTTTGCTTCCTTAGTGAATTGCAAACCAGAGAGTCTTTGAATCCACCTGTGACCTGTAAAGCCCCAATTCGAGATATACCACCTTTTTAGGCCAAACCAATATATAACCTCCATGTATTGATTTACCATTTTGCTTGTGATTTCTGATTTCCTGAAATTTATCTCAGCCTTTGAAAAAACCTTGCTTGAGGCTGGGCACGGTGGCTCATACCTGTAATCCCAGCACTTCGGGAGGCCAAGGTGGGAGGGTCGCTTAAGCCCAGGAGTTCAAGACCAGCCTGAACAACATGGTGAAACCGGTTTCCATTTCTACTAAAAATACAAAATTAGTCGGGCGATAGTGGTGCATGCCTGTAATCCCAGCTACTCTGGAGGCTGAGGCAGGAGAATCGCTTGAGCCTGGGAGGTGGAGGTTGCAGTGAGCTGAGATCACACTACTGCACACGCTGAACGTGGATGACAGAGTGAGACCCTGTCTCAAAACAAACAAACAAACAAACAACAACAAAACAACAACAACAAAAAGCCTTGCTTGTAAGCCATCAAGTAGGTCAGGTCTGAAGTGTAAACTGCCAGATTCTCCTTGTTTGGGGCCCTGCAAATAAACATCCTCCTTTCTTTTGCTGCAAAACCTCAGGGTGGATGTTTAGCTTTACTGCACAGCATAAGCAAATCCATGTTTGGTTCAGTAAGAGAAGCGGGGAGCATCCTCCTTTGAGGCAGAAAGGGAAAAGTGAAGGATTAGTGATAAAGCACAGTGAGTCCAGGGAAGCTGACAGGCTTCATATGATGCGCGGTTAAGAGGGGAACGTTAAGGGAGGAACACATAAGGTTTCATCTTTCGGAGAGCACTTTGTTTTGAAACTGGCATTGTGGGGAATTTTAATGGTGAGCTGAAGTCAGCACGATTTGTGATTTTTATCCAGCAAGAACTGTGACCTTAACAATTCCATCTAGAGGCATCTGCTTTGAAAAAAAAATGGAAGAAGGGAAAGGGCATTGCTGTGGGACCAGAGGTGATTGCTGGCGGCTTCTCCGCTTACCTCATTAAAATGCCTCTTTGCTTCTCTTGATCTCTTTTCCCCTTTAAACCACTTTGCAAGAGCTGAGATCTGTATTCAACACTCATTAATTCGATTCATAATTATAGAGTACCTAATATGTACATTATTCAAGGTGCTGGGGTTAAAGCAATGAGCAAATCACATTAGGGAACAAATTCTACTCTCAGGGAATTTATATTCTATTTGGGGAAACAAACAATAGAGAGGTAAATAATAGTAATTCTAGACATTGATTAGTACAATAGAGAAAGTAGCCTGGATGCGGGGCTCACACCTGTAGTCCCAGCACTTTGGGAGTCCGAGGCAGGTGGATTGCTTGAGCTCAGGAATTCAAGACCAGCCTGGCCAACATGGCAAAACCCCGTTTCTACTAAAAACACAAAAATTAGCCGGGCGTGGTGGCACATGCCTATAGTCCCAGCTACTCAGGAGACTGAGGCATGAAAATCACTTGAACCCAGGAAGCCGGGAAAGGGAGGCTGCAGTGAGCTGAGATTGTGCCACTGCACTCCAGCCTGGGCGACAGAGTGGGACCCTGTCTCAAAAAAAATTTCAAAAAAAAAAAAAAGTAAAGTAAATCAGGGCAATGGGACAGATGTGGATGAGGCACCATTCAAGCCTGTGGTCAGGGAAGACTTTTCTGAGAAGACAACAGCTGAGCTGAGATCAGAGACAAGAAGCTCCAGTGTGTGAAAACCCAAGGCAAGGTCCTTTTGGCTTTTGGGCAGAGGGAACAAGTGTAATGGTTCTGAAGTGGGAACAAACTTAGAGCATTTGAGGAGCAGCAAGAGAACCAGTGTGGTTGAGTTGCAGTAAGCAACGCGGGAGCGGGCAGATGAGTTTGGAGACGCAGGAAGCAGGAAAATGTGGTAGCCAGAGTGCTGGCTGAGGCAGTAGAAGATTGCATTCTCCTGCAAAGATTTCCCCTGTGACCCAAGGACACTCGCCCTGGGTCTCAGCTTCTTGTTACAAGATGAGAGGCCTGGGCAAGATGATAGGAACTCTAGCCTGCCCAAGAAAGAGAAGTACTTAATGCTGTTTATTTAAAAGATGAATCTTTAAGGCTTTTGCAGCCTATGTTCTATGCTTATCAGGGCTCTCTGCAACCTAGCTCCAGGTTCCATAACAGCATGTTTCTCTACCTTTGGGATTCTTTAGTTGGGCTGTTCTTTTCCCTGTTCCCAGAATACCACAGACCCATGGAAGGGTTGATATTGCAGTTTTGAGTCTGAAAGAAATCTGAAGGCAGAATTTCTTCTTCCTCAGGGAACCTCAGTCTTTTTTCTTTTTTTTTTTTTTAATTTATTTTTTGAGACAGTCTCGCTTTGTCACCCAGGCTGGAGTGCAGTGGTGCAATCTTGGCTCATTGCAACCTCTGCCTCCTGGGTTCAAGTGATTCTCCTGCCTCACCCTTCTGAGTAGCTGGGACTACAGACATGTGCCACCACACCCGGCTCATTTTTGTTTTTGTTTTTTTTTAGTATAGACAGGGTTTTGCCATGTTGGCCAGGCTGGTCTTGAACTCCTGACCTCAAGTGATCCACCCGCTTTGAGTCTTTTCTCTTAAAATCTTCAATTGATTGGATGAGACCCACCCACATTATGGAGGGCAATCTGCTTAACTCAAACTTTACTTATCTAAGTGTTATCACATCTAAAAAATACCTTCACAGCAACATATAGACTAGTGTTTGACCAAACAACTGGGTACCATAGCCTAGCTGGGTTGACACATAAAATCAACCAGCACAATGAATCTTCCTTCACTATACTCAGCACAAGTCCACTGTGTGCAGGGAGCACTTGATGAATAGTTAACTAAAGGGCTGTAATTAGTGCTGTACATCCATTCATTCAGCAAACACTATGTTTAATGAGCACCTACTTTGGGCCAGGCTCTGTTCCAAGAGCTGGGCAAATGGCAGTGAACAAGACTGATAATGATTAAGTCTATTTTTTATTCATGTGCTTTGGCATCTTATAGATCCAGTGTGAACAGTTTTTGTTGTTGTTTTTATTATTTTGTTTTGTTGGCTGATGTAGAAAAGTTATCATAAGCATAATCCCTTTGTAGGTCTACTCATTAAAGCTGTCAGAGTAGGATTCTTAAAAAAAAAAAAAAAAAAAAAGAGGTTAGATAATTTGCTTAATTGCATTAAAGTACAGTTGGCCTTCCATATCCGTGAGTTCTGTATCCATGGATTCAATCAACCACAGGTAGAAAATAATTTGGAAAAAGATATTGCATCTGTACCAAACATGTACAGACCATTTTTCTTTGTCATTATTCCCTAAAAACAACTACTTACATAGCATTTACATTGTATTAAGTATTATAAGTAACCTGGAGTTGATTTAAAGTATACAGGAGAATGTGCATAGATTATAAGCAAATACTAGACTATTTTTTACCAGGGACTTCAGCATCTGTGGATTTTGCTATTCGGGGAGGTCCTGAAACCAATCACCTATGAATACCAAGGGACAACTGTGTATGACAGATAGATAGAATTATAAAAATGTCCCCTCAAGATGCTTGTCCCTGGTTAGTCATGTATGACAGATAGATAGAATTATAAAAATGTCCCCTCAAGATGCTTGTCCCTGGTTAGTCAAACACTAATCGTCTTAATGCTGAGAAGGTATTTTACAGATATAATTAAAGTCCCAAATCAGTTACCCTTGAGTTACAGAGATTATCTGTGTGGGCCTGACCCAGTAGATGAACCTTTTAAGAGCAGAGAGTTTTCTTTGGCTAGCAACAGAAGAGGAGTCAGAGATTCAAAGCACAAAGGGGATTCTATGCACCATTTCTGGCTCGAAGAAGGAAGGGGTCATCTGCCAAGGAATGTGAGTGACCTTAAGGACCAAAGAGCAGCCCCCCACCAATAGCCAGCAAGGAAATGGGACTTCAGTCCTACAACCACAGGAATAGAATTCTGTCAACAACCTGAATGACCTTGAAAGCAGATTCTTCCCAGATCCTCCAGGGAAGAGCCAGTAGGCAAACACCTTGATTTTGGCCCTGTTTGATCCTGTGTAAAGAATCCAGCAGAGCCCACACTCTGACCTACAGAACTGTGAGCCAAGAATTGGATGTTGCTCTAAGTTTGTGATAATGTGTTATGCAGTCACGGAAAACTAACATAGAGTATACAGCTAAATAATGATATGGCCTGTTTTAAAATCTTATTTTTTTAAAGTAGCTGAGAAAGTAAAATTCTTTCTCATTTTAATAATCTTTGGCACACATCTGCATAAAAGAAGAATGCTTTCTTAATGTGGTCAGTGGTATTTACTCATGAAAATACTGCAAATCTGAGACACACCAGTCCTGTTTTGGGTAAAAAGAAGTTTACTGCAAAGTATTAAGCCATTAAGCTAAAAGCAAAATAAATTAATGAGGATTCATAACTTATATCCACTGTCATATGTTTACAATATTTAGTATCATCTTTATCATGTGATATAAGGATGAGTCATAATATGGTCAAACTCCTGGTGTTAAATACCCCAAGGACTAAAGAGCTCATGAAGGAAATGAATAATTTGTTAATGCTTTAGAAATGAAGGCTTCAGGCAAGAAGAGTTTTGCTTCCTTTTCTTAATAAATGTAGATGGATGTATTTCATGATAATTTAATATTCCTGGAATAAACTCCCACTTTGCATCTGGCAAGTTTCTCCCTTTATGTTCATTAAATTTTCCTCTAGATCTACGCCTCTCCCCAAACCCCTCAGAGCCACCAAAATACACCCTGAAGGCAACGTAGGCTCAAATGCTAACTTCTGAGTATGAAAAGGACATAGGAGCAGGAGGGTTGTCAGTGATGGTCTGGATCAAAACACCCATTGTTCTAGACGAGGAAATGGAGGCCCAGGAATAGGCCTTATCCAAATCACAGAACAACTGGTAGTGGAACTGGAACTCAAACTTTATTTTTAAGATGATAAGTAGAAATATAAGTAAGCCCGCCTAGATTGACTTTTGTCAGAATTAACTTGCTAACATGTATGAGCTATTTGTGACAAAATTAGACTACATAGTTTTTAGTTTTGAATTCTAGGTCCCTAAACAAATATTACTGAAGGTGTCTCCATCCTCCTACTTTGGTAACTGTAAAATGAATAAATTTCTAGTGGCAGGCCATCTTTGAGGGTTGTTAGATAGTATTTGTGTGTATGGCTTTAAAAATCACTGAAAGGGCCTGCAGATTCGCTGATCCATGAAAGTAAGGTTAGCCTTGATATAGAACAGACTAAGATGGAGAAAGCTCCTAACCCAGCAACAGAGCCAGCAGTTCTGGATGTAAAACCACCTTCTTTTCCTCTCTGGATTCTGACTCTTAGATAATACACATAAGCACCGCTAGCCAAAAAAAGACAAAAATATTAGCTTTATCAACACTTTGGCAAGTGCCCAATAATCTCTACAATATGAGAATCTGTGGTACAACTTCGGATAGAGAAAAGCTGCTTGAAACTGGTGCCAAACTGGGGGCTTCTCACTTCTGCACTGGAATCTGGGCCTTGGGACAGGCACGAGCCTCCAAGGTGAGGAATGTGTAGAGTGCAGAGACTCTGAGTTTGCCGTTAATTCACTAAGGCAAACGGCCACAAGGTTTGTCACACACACTGTCACAAGCAAGACAGACCTAGTTCTCTCTATTGCATGGGCAAGGAAGATGCAATGGGCTCTCTTCACCTAGAAGACAGATAGATGTGGAAGCCCGGACCAGACGACCTGCTAGGCCTGGTTTCCTGTTTTCGAAGCCAATAGCCCTGCTCACTATAAAAATTAAAGAATTAATCTTTTTTTTTTTCTACCTGGGGAGGAACCAGTAGAGTGGATATTTGAACAGTTAGTGAAGTTACCTCCTGTATAGAAATAAGTGGGAATGTAAGAAGAGTAATATGATGTCTCCTTCAAAGTAAAAATGTTATCTCTTTAGACAGAATTAGAAACCAACTTTGTTTCAATATTTCTGAGAACTCTGAACCCAGAAGAATTATTGATAGAAACTTCTGGGAAGTTGATCGAGCAAATAATTGTTCCTCACCTTGGCCTGGCATTTAGGTTGCCTCTCTAGCAGAACAGTAGACAGGATTGAGAGGTGACAGCGTGCTGTCAGCCCTCGCAGCCCTTGCTCGCTCTCGGCGCCTCCTCGGCCTCGGCGCCCACTCTGGCCACGCTTGAGGAGCCCTTCAGCGCGCTGCTGCACTGTGGGAGCCCCTTTCTGAGCTGGCTGAGGCCTGAGCCGGCTCCCTCAGCTTGCAGGGAGGTGTGGAAGGAGAGGCACGGGCGGGAACCGGGACTGCGCGCGGCGCTTGCGGGCCAGCGCGAGTTCTGGGTGGGCGTGGGCTTCGCGGGCCCCGCACTCGGAACGGCCGGCCGGCCCGGGAGACAGTGAGGGGCTTAGCACCCGGGCCAGCAGTTGCGGAGGGTGCGTCGGGTCCCCCAGCAGTGCCGGCCCACCGACGCTGGCTCGATTATTTCGCCGGGCCTTAGCTGCCTCCCCGCGGGGCAGGGCTCGGGACCTGCAGCCCGCCATGCCTGAGCCTCCCCCAACCCGCCGTGGACTCCTGTACAGCCTCCCCGACGAGCGCCGCCCCCTGCTCCGCGGCGCCCTTTCGTCCCATCCACCGCCCAAGGGCTGAGGGGTGCGGAAACAAGGCGCGGGACTGGCAGGCAGCTCCACCTGCAGCCCGGGTGCGGGATCCACTGGGTGAAGCCAGCTGGGCTCCTGAGTTTAGCGAGGACTTGGAGAAACCTTTATGTTTAGCTAAGGGATTGTAAATCAATCGGCACTCTGTATCTAGCTCAAAGTTTGTAAATGCACCAATCAGCACTCTGTGTCTAGCTAATCTAGTGGGGACTTGGAGAACTTTTGTGTCTATCTCAGGGATTGTAAACGCACCAATCCCCACCCTGTCAAAACGGACCAATCAGCTCTCGGTAAAACAGACCAATCGGCTCTCTGTAAAATGGACCAGTCAGCAGGATGTGGGTGGTGCCAGATAAGAGAATAAAAGCAGGCTGCCCGAGCCAGCAGCGGCGATCTGTTCTGGTCTTTTTCCAGCTGTAGAAGCTTTGTTCTTTTGCTCTTTGCAATAAATCTTGTTGCTGCTCACTTTTTGGGTCCACACTGCCTTTATAAGCTGTAACACTCACCACGAAGGTCTGCAGCTTCACTCCTGAAGCCAGCGACACCAGGAACCCACCAGAAGGAAGAAACTCGGAGCACATCCGACCATCAGAACAAACTCCAGACATGCTGCTTTTAAGAAGTGTAATACTCACCAGGAGGGTCCGCAGCTTCCTTCTTGAAGTCAGTGAGACTAAGAACCTACCAATTCGGGACACAGTAAGACATAAACACATAGATATTTATGGTACAAGGTGGAAAGACATAAATGCTACATAGTAGAAGCAGAAAAAGTGCTATGAGAATCCAGAGATCAGAGAGACTGAATATAGTCCTTCCATGTCCCTGGGTTCCGCATATGTGAATTCAATCAACCAAAGATCAAAATTATTTGAGAATAAAATAAATAAAACAAATTTAAAATATACAGTATAACAGCTATTTACATAGCATTTAAATTGTATTAGGTATTATAAGTAATCTAGAGATAAGCTATATGGGAGGATGTGCATAGGTTATGTGCAAATACTACATTATTTTATATAAAGGATTTGGGCATCCATGGATTTTGGTATCTGTAGGGTCCTGGAACCAATCCCCTGATGATAACAAAGGACAACTGTACATGTCCAGGAAGAGGAGGTTAGGCTTCATGAAGGAAGTTAACAAGTGAAATAGGCCTTGAGGGATGGGGATAGACTGTGGGGATTTAGGAAGGGAATCCCAGGAAGATGAGGAAAACATAGGGTGTGCATAAGAAACTGACTTTTTAGTTTCAAAAGAGATGGGAAGTACAGGCCGGGCGTGGTGGCTCATGCCTGTAATGTCAGCACTTTGGGAGGCTGAGTCGGGCAGATCATCTGAGGTCAGGAGTTCAAGACCAGCCTGGCCAACATGGTGAAACCGCATCTCTACCAAGAATACAAAATTAGCTGGGCATGGTGGTGCGTGCCTGTAATCCCAGCTACTTGGGGGGCTGAGGCAGGAGAATCACTTGAACCCGGGAAGCAGAAGTTGCAGTGAGCCGAGATTGCACCATTGCACTCCAGCCTGGGCAACAAGAGCGAAACTCCGTCTTAAAAAAGAGAGAGAGAGATGGGTAGCACAATGGAGAATTAAGGTTAGGAAGATAGGTTGGAGACAGACAGTGGGAAGTAGGGAGAGAGGATGGCGTTTAATGATAGGTGAAGAAGTTTAGATTTTATGCTGGGGAGCCAGTGAACAGTTTTTTAAAAAATTAGAGTGACTTGATCCCAGTGCTGTTTTAGAACCTGAATCTGGATTGGCGTGGGGAGAGCTTGGAGCCAGGAAGTCCAACTACTAGGAGGCTCCCACAGGACATTAGATGTGCGGTGTTGAGGGCTGGCCATGAATTGGGGCAGTGGGAAGAGGAATGGAATGGTGGCATCAAATGGACAGAAGCACTGGGTGCTAGTGAGGGACAGGACCTCTGTCCGGGAGGCAGTGCTGTGAAGGAGGAAGAGTGCCAGAACCTAGCCCTTAACTTACTGGCATGAGACAAGGAGGAGGGAAAAGGATGGGCAAGAGCACACTGTGATAGGTCAGCTCCATGCCAGCTCACACAGTCCATTAAGGCACGTGGTATTATCTTCATTTTACAATCAAGGAAACTAGACTGAGAAGAATCTGCCCAAGGTCACACCTTAGACCGCCATGGACATCAGCTTCCTTCCTTATCTACAACCTGCTGAGTTCAGTTTTGAACATGTTGAATGGGAGGTGCTGGGAGGATTTGCAGGTGTAGATGCGCTCATGGGCGATCACACAAACTCACACACCTGTTTGTTCATTCCTTTGTTTTTTGCGTGTCTGCTCCACTTCATCTCTTTGCACTCTGCATTCTCTCCCTTCCTTCTCCCTCCCCTATTCCCTTCTCTTTTTTCTTCTGATCTATTTTATCTTTTTCCTCTTTTTCTTTTTCCCAACTGAGTTAAAACATGCAGAAGCCTTTTTACACTGAAAAGCTATGAAAATATAAGAGACTGTTATCAATATTCTCTTTTCTCTGTATCAGTGGTTCTCAACTGGGGGCAATTTTGCCTCTCAGGGGACATTTGGCAATGACTGAAGACATTTTTGGTTGTCACAGCTGGAAGGGGATAATACTGGCATCTAGTGGGTAAAGACCAGGAATGCTGCTATCATACAATGCACACAGTAACCACCCCCTCCTCAAGAAAAATAATTATCCAGCCCCAAACGTTGCTCTGTACCTGAGGTCTGGCAGTGACCACTGCAGCACTGCTGAGTTTTACCAGGGGCTCTAGTTTAAGGCAGGGAGGATAGGCTTGTTTAATCAGAAGTCAAACCACTATAGATGGAGGCATTTAAGGAATCTGAAATTTTTGCAATGGGTGGTTTTTCATATGCAAATACAATAACACTTATAAACCACTTACTATGTGCCAGGCATTTTTAAAAAATACTTTACATATACAACACAGTTAATCCTCCCAACCATCCTTTCAGATAGAAACTAACAACTGCGCATAGGAAGTAGGTGGCCAAGCAAGAAAACTAACCCAGAAAGTCTAGCCCTCAAGCCACAGTCTTAAGACACTTCATCCTATTGCCCAATATAGCAACGGTGACACTCCCAAAATGTCACCAGTATGGCCTATGCCTTTCCTGGTTTTTCCACAGAAGCCTGGATAATAAAACTCCATTCATACTTTCTCATTAAGGCTTGCTTTTCTTATGCTACTCTTAATTTTTCAGTGACTAGTTGGGGTACTCTTCTGTGACCATGAAATAGATATTTTTCTCTTTGCAAAACTAATTGACTGGCCTCAGTAGCAAGATAACTGTTTTGTGCCTCAGTTTCCTCATCTGTAGAATGAAAATATTAATGACGTCATGAACTTTTAGGAGGGTTTAAATGAGTTAATACAGTGCTCTTCAACAGAGTTCGTAGACTTGCGCCAGTTGGTGAAGGTTTGTTACTAGTCTACGGGGAGATACGTATAGCAACTAAGAGTAAGGATTTAGAAACTTTTATAGCATTTTGACAATTTGATGTCTCTTACAGCTAATAGTTAAAAAAGGAAAAAATTGAGCTTGAATTTTGCATGTTTTAATTTTTTTTTCACTTTTGTAGTAATTTATTTTTATTGAATTCCACAAAAGCATTTGTCCATGACACATTGGAAATTTAAAAAACAAATACTGGCTCATTATCACAGCACAAGAAGCATTAAGTTAACATACGTAAAACACTTGAAGCAGCTCCTGGCACTTAGTCAGTGCTTAATAAATGTTAGCTAATAACAATAATAGCACTATATTCTAACAAAATGAGCTATCTGTCCCAAAGATGTACGTTCCTGAGATTTATCTTCTATGTCATTCTAAGTTCATCTTCAATTCTATTAAATCTCTTTCCTACAGTGTGAGCCATTAAAAGAAGTGCTACTCTACTCCTTACCCATTAATCATACATTATCAGACACTAAATATTTTAACAGCCAGTGTCTGCCATTGGTCTCAAGGGGAATATAACCAGCATAACACATAGTGATTGTGGTTGTTCTTCTGCCACAGAAGGTGACGTAGTCTTACACAGTGCCCCAGCTGCTAAGGAATCAGTCTCCCTGACTCACCCTCACGTGGGGAGCCTGCTTACTCACCCTAGCCTCACTGCCCTTCTAAGGCTCCTCCCAGGAGGAGGTCCAGAGTCCCTTTCTAAAGAAACTACACTATTTAACAGTCTAGGAATTCTTGGATCACCCAGGTTAGTCCTCAGTTTCCTTTAATCAGGCATTGGAGGCTCATATTGCAAATAAAGCAAATTCCTGGGTAACAGAAATATTAGTATCAAAATGGCTATATTTCTCCTGATATTATTGGCTGCCTATAAGTGTTCACGTAGTGGATCAATGAAAGGGGTGGGAGAAGCAAAAAGAAAAACCCAATTCATGCAAGACAGTCTAGTGCATCTGAGCGGGCTTCTCACCGACTTCCTTGGACTGCATATTTTCCTCCCTCCCTCTGACTCACTCCATGCAACCAATTTTTCTTTCCTCCTTTGAACTAACAACATTAGACTCATATCAGTTTCTCTTCTGAAACCCCAGTGGGTCTACAAGATCATGGGCAGGCACGTCCTGACTCTAGCTAGCTTCATTGTTCCTCCAGATTAATGTTGCCACTATACCCTTTGACTTAAGAATCTCTTGAGAATGTCACAATGTCCTTTAGGATAACCAAAAGCACAAAGGATTGGAATCACAACACAAAGGTCTAATACAGCTTTTTTGAATACTCACTTGTCTCATCAGGCCACTTACTAAACTAAAACTTTCTCTGGAACAGTATTATTTGGGTCCTTTCTCCAATATGTTTTCATCTTGACTGGGAGTTAGAGCTCCTTGGAGAGGGAGAACACAGGGCTCACACATTTTCTCTTTATTGGTGCTCCAAGGGAGGTCCTCTTACCTGCTTAACCATTCACATGATGATAAAATCTCTTTGCCCCAGAGGAACAAGACTGGATTTCTTTTGTTAAAATCTCATTAAAGACTGCTTCAGCCTGTAATAATTTGTTAATAGATGGCAGTGCTATTTGGCTGCGATTGGGTTTTCTTTCATTTCTTCTCAAGCAGGTCTCATAATTGTTGTCTTATCTCCAAGGCATTTTGGTTGTCACTGAAGTGTAACAGATGCTGTAGCCACTGCAAACCACTGGGTGAGCATCCCACATTATCTGTGAGGAAAGAGATGCCTCATTAGTTTCCTTCCTTTCATTTTTTTCCTTTTTAAGCTGCTCTCTAGTCAGCTAAAAAAGCTGGCTCTTTTTCTCAAACCAGGCCAGATTCCCAGATATTTTCCTGCTCAGTGATTTGAGTTAAACCTATCTGCCAAGGACCTCTCTCTCTCTCTCTCTCTGGTTGCATTTTACACAAAACCACTAAAGCAAGCAGTTTAGATTTTTTTTTTTTAAAGTATTTTCTGAGTGTCCATCCACATGGCAACAACTAAAGCATTTTCAGAGGCATGTGACAGGGTCTGTCTGAGGATGGAGAGGTCTGAAACCTCATGAGTCACTCTGGGAATCACATGAAATCATGGAGATAGAAGTGTTTTATAAACTGTAGCCTACAGAGATGGAGGATCACAAAGTGGTTTGGAGTACCCTGGGTTCTGGCTGAATTGTGGAAGACTCCAGTCCAGTGTCCTGAAGCTTCAATAGAGGCAGGAAGTACTTTTACTCAACCCCGTATCCACTAGGCTGTGAATTCCCTTTATAAAATATAAAACAGTGTGGGGGAGGAAGGAATGGGTTGTATGTCTTTGTTTTCCTGCTGCACCTGTCAATCTGCTCCTGCCACCAATCAGAATGCAAGCCTGACTGCTGAATCCCATGGTCATCTCTCCAACAGTTTCGAAGGTAAAATCTCCTTCTGATAATTTGATAGAAAAGAAATGGAATTCTATAAATGCTATTAATAATGATAACATCAATAGCTAACATTTACCAAACACCCTTTGCCAGGCACCATATTAATATTTTTATTTCTCACAACCTTATGAGACAGGTATTATTATTTCCACTTTTAAAATTTGTTGCCAACAATTTCATGTGAATACCAATGCTTCTATTTTTAAAATGAGGAAACTAAGGGTTAATTGATGAGGTAACATTTGAACCTAAGAATTCTGACTCCAGAAGCTGCTTCTTTATTTAAGCACTTTAAATGAGCTATGCTAAGCTGTATTCTATTTATATTAGAAATAGAGGGTCAGCCCACCTTCATTATGCCAAACCACCATAATGGTCCTTAGATTGGGAAGGCAGTTGAATTGTCCTGAGTTTTTGGCCATGTGTTTTACAGTTATTGTTCTACCCCAAATCTAACTTCAGACCTACTTGCCAAGGAGAGTGACTCTCTTGACAAAAGTGACTTAGTGACATTGGGGTCAGTGGGTAGCAGGGAGGTAGGGAGAGTGGTTGACCTGGAGCATGGCAAGGGGGCAGTGGGGCGAGGCAGGTGGACAGCTTCCCCAGAGATAAGGTCAGAGGGTTCAGCAGAGACATTTCGTGGGCTACCTCATAGGACATTCAAAGAAGCTCAGATTATATGCCAAGGGCAAAGAGGAGTCCACTGTCGGGTTTTAATCAGGAGGATAACAATCATATCTGCCTTATGGGAGCCATTCTTTGGTAGGATTACAAAAGAATTATTAGAGACAGGCAAGCCCAGAGGGTGAGCTTACTACCAGAGCAGAGCAAGAGACAAGGAGGCCCTAAATTGGATTAGGGAAAGAGGACTGTGTCTAGAAGAAGGAAGGGGTCAGTAACAGAGGTGTTAAAAAGATATAAGATTTTGTAAGTAGATTTGAGGGTCTGGAGAGGAAGAAGTTGTCTGGGAAGATTTCCAGGTGTAGGGTTTAAGTGATTAGGTGGATGCCTGAAGCCAATATAAATAATTCAGGTGGAAGAGCAGACTGTAGGGGAAGTCGTAATGAACTCTGTGTGGACATGCTGAGTTGGTCCTGGCTGGAGAACACTAAAGTGAGACTGCTGATCCTGCAGCTGGATATGGAGGTTTCATGTTCAGAGAAAGATTCGAGACCAGAGACAGAGACTTGGAAGAATTCAGCCTAAAAATGACAAAGTCATGTGATTGTCATGTGATTGTTCAGATGCAGCTTGAGAAGAAAAGAGGGCCAAGGACTGAGCAATAGTCGAGGGATAAGCTGGCATCTGCAATGTGGGACAGTGACCAGAAGAAATGAGTAAAATGCTGGAACCTGTGTGTTCACCTTATGATCGTAACTTCTTTGGAACATGGCTGTTTCTTGCCGGTGGCAGGTGGTTAAAACAAAGAAAAGAGTGCCCCTGTGTTTGTTTTCTAAGATAGCAAGGAACAGCGTAGCTCATGAGCCAGTAATCTATTCAGAAGTTGGTCTTGAGGAAAAAATGGCTCGAGAAGTTGAGTCGGTGTGAGGGACGTCTGTGAAGGGCAGGGAACGCAACCTGATCTCCGGAGAGGCATCTGGGAACTAGTGAAAGTGGAGCCAGGGCCACGGGGGCTGGGCTGGGAGATGTGCTTGTCTGGCAGGAGCCCCCTGCGTTCTCTGACCTGGTGGTCTGAGCTGAAGGAATTGCCCTACTGTCTTCCAGGGAACATGGACACTTTCACTAGATCACAAAATGCTGACGGCTACAATTGCCAAGTTGGTGCCAAGGGGGTGCCTTCCATGGGAGACATGCTTGACAGACCCATGGAGGAGCAGAGCATCACCCAACACCTCCACTGCTATGACTGCGTGGGGCCCTCTGTGTGGGAAAACAGGAGGTGGGTTTGCCTCACCTCAGAATATTCACCTTCATGTCTGCCTTTTCCTTTCCAGCTAGAAGAAGGCATACCACTAAGACATTTCCACTGTCCCTTTGGCTTCGTGGAAAGCGGTTGTCTAGGCTGCATGGGATGTGCCTTAGAAGGCATTCTACATTTGTAAACTTCCAAGTGACAAAGATCGGGACTGTTATTTATTACGTTTTCCTTTGCAAGACTGTGAAATAGGCAAAATTTTAGGTCTCTGTTTCTGGTCTCGACTCTTTCTCTCTTTCCTTCCTCCCTCCCTTCCTCCCTCCCTCCCTCCCTTTCTTCCTTCCGTCTGTCTGTCTCACTATGTTGACCAGGCTGGCCATGAACTCCTGGGCTCAAGCAACTCTCTTACCTCACCCTCCTAAGTAGCTGGGACTACAGGCATGCCAAATCCACTTTTTCCTACCTTTTTGGAACTACTAGTCACCCCCTCTCTACTTTGTCTATATTCTCTTTCTCCTCCACCAGATCCCAGAGCCCTCCAATTTTCACCTTCTCTCCCATCAAAACTCATTCATAAGAAAGAGTTCCAAACTACTAAGTCTCTGGGGGCTGGCACTGTACAATTCTAAGAGGCTTCACGTTTGGCACTTCCTAGTGACATCTTTCACTGGGCAAAGGCAAATCTCAAGCCAAGGGATGAATCTGAAATGGTGGGAGTTTAGTCCCACCATTTGATGAGAGGTTGAGCTGATGAGAGGTTTCTAAGGAGGACTAAGGGAATATGCCCCCAGCCCCTGAAATCAAGTAGACAGCTGCTTCTCCTGATGACTTAGAAGCCTGTTCTTGTTCCCAGCGTAACCTCCTAGGCAATTAAAGTCAATCTTATGTTGCCATTAAAAAAAGCCAATTGACGTTATGTTGAAAGACAGCATGTGTCAGCCATTTCCCCTGGGTTGCCCTCTCTGTAGACCTCCAGCTTTTCTCCTCCACTAAGGTTAACTTTCCCAGAGGGATTTTTACATAAGGCAGAGTCATTTGTGCTCATTAAGCTTGTAAGATTTTTCTACTTCGAAAGTAAATACTTTTGGTGAAATAGGTCCAGTTCTTTGGAATACAAATCCTTAGCTTGAGGTTGCTTGAGTGGAAATTTTTAACATGCAATTCCCTCAGCTACAGAGCCACGCGAAATGTGATTTTTCTTAATGTGTGTGTGTTCTCACAGAAGCTAATAAATGGACATTACTCTGGTATGGACACATCCTATTACTCAGCTTGATCCTAATATCACTGGCAAAAAAACCTATTTGCTGCACTAGCAAACAGCTGAATTCATTATGTCCGGCTACATGAGTAATATCCAGGCGGATTCTTGTTGACACAGACAAAACGCCAGTCTCTGAGGCGCGACAGGGCTGCCAGGCAGAGCAGCCGGTGCTGCCACGCTCCCTCCCTCTGCTCCCATGGTATTCCACTAATCAGAAGTCACCACTCGCTGCCGATAGGGTGATGTATGGCAGACTCATGACACCTCGTTATTTCTGAGACAAAGGGAAAAAAAAGGACACCAGGAAGGAATAATCTGTCGGTGTAATTGGGGAAAGGAGAAGATGTACGGCACAGGAGGAAGACTGTCGAGTTAACCACACCTGCCATCACTCAGGGAGCTGGAGAATAGGTCATATTATGCAGCCAGTCTACACGGTAATTATGGATTCTCAGGCTGAAGGGTCTCACTGAAGGACATTTTCTCTCCTCCCTGCCTTGGGGCAGAATCATCCCCACACCCACGCCACACTGGGTTGGAAAGTCTTCCCTGCAAACAGACTGCGTAGTCACTTGTCACTCCAGATAGGAACAACCCTGTAGAACAAATTTGGAGAGGGTTCCTGGGTTTAAGGGGTGACAACTCTTGAGATACAAAGCACCCAGAGCCTTCAATGAGAGGCTCTGCCCTGTGGAGCATGCAGTGATTCTGCAGAAACACCAGGCAGTTCCCTGGGCAATCCCTTCTTAGCCTGAAGCTATCTCCATTTTCCTGACAATTCCCAGATTGCTCAGAAGAGAAGTAAAATCATCCCACCAGGCATATTCTGTACAATCAGAATATGCACACAATCTGATTGTACATTCCATTATGCTCAAGAAATAGTTCATTGTTAAAGTGTTCACTTTTTGGAAGTGTTATTACTCCAACTGGGTAATGTTCCCTACTGGTTCTCAGCAGTTATTTTCTTCCTCTGTTGTCCTTGAGGTCCAGGCAAACAGTCCACTAGCTCTGCGTTGAAAACTATTCTCCATGAAGCTCTTTCTAAACCAGGGTGTAGAAAGTGTTCTTCAACCTGATGCAATTTCCACCTCGTTTACACCCTTCAGCAGTTTGTATGCAACTGTCACTTTTTTCATTCATTCATTTATTCATCAAGTATCTCTTGAGCACCTACTACATGTATACCAGGCATAGTTCTAGGCAGTGAGCACACAATTATGAACAAGACAGATCATATCTTAACCTAATGGAGCTTACAGTCTAGTGGAGAAGACAGTAAAAAAGTTCCACCTCTTGCTGCTGAGAGTAGAGTCAAAGATTCTTACAACTGGAGAAATTAAAATCACAATCCCTCCAAATTCTCTCACTCAGCCTTGGTTCAAATTAAAACTATAGGTCACAGAGGTGTTTGACAAGCCTTGGGTAAAAAGAATATCTATATTTTTTTTATTGATTTCATTTTATTTTTTATTTACTTGTTTAATTAATTAATTAATTAATTTTTTTTTCGAGATGGAGTCTCGCTCTGTTGCCCAAGCTGGAGTGCAGTGGTGCGATCTCAGCTCACTGTAACCTCCACCTCCCGGGTTCAAGCAATCCTCCCACCTCAGCCTCCCGAGTAGCTGGGATTACAGGCACCTGCCATCATGCCTGGCTAATTTTTATATTTTTGTAGAGACCGGGTTTCAACATTTGGCCAGGCTGGTCTTGAACTCTTGAACTCAGGTGATCTACCCACCTCGGCCTCCCAAAGTGCTAGGATTACAGGCGTGAGCCACTGTGTCCGGCCTGATTTCGTTTTAAAACAAGAATCTCTATCTTAATGAACAGTGTTCTTATCCTCTTCCAAGGGCTTTCCCTGAGGCTGCCAACCTCCAAAAATTGTTTTATAGTTCCAAATTTCCTACTTCTCCTTCCCCAATCAGAATCTTTATTCTTACAAGGCAAGCTGTTTAACTAGGTATGAGAGGGAAAGCAATCTTATTAAATTAAATCATACTAATGTGTGAATGACTAAGTGAGACTCCTCAAGAAGTTTTTGACTTTTTATAAGAGAATATTTACTAACCCTAAATAGTATCTAGATTTTCAGCCTTCACTATAAATTGGGGGGAAAAGGCAATATAGGAAAGATTTCTACTAAGTTATAAGCATGAGTTCCTTAAGAACAGAGACCATCTCATTTTGGGAGTACTGAGTTACCTAGTACAATCAATTGAGTACCTAATCAATATTTATTGAATTGAAAAGAATGTGGAAACACAGAGTGGATAGGAGAAGGGAGAGGGTAGGAAAGCAAGGGTACTGAGGGGAAAGAAAAGACAGGAAGGAAAAAGAGAAGAAAGGAAGGAGGAAGGAAGGAGGCAGGAAGGAAATCCAAGAGAGGGAAAGAGAACTAAACACAACCCAAATTATGGTACAGTTCCTGGTTTCTTTTGCAGTGAGAGCCCTCAGAAAAACTGTAGCAAAAAAGAATTTATTTGCAGTAGAAAAAAAAATTTTTTTAACTGCTGCTGTTTCAGAGTGCCAACAACAGAATAGAGCCAAGAGATGCTGAGCCCTAAGGAAAGATATTGATCAAAGCCATAAATTTCTGTTTTTCTAGCACAATAGCAATGACTCATGACGGTTGACTGGCCACCGTCAGTGAGCCTCCCTGAGGGCCCCTTGTACCCAGCAGAATGGATCCACTGGGTCCATGATCATCTAACAGTCACAGGAACTCAGGGACTAACCCTGTTAGGGTTATGAAAATGGATCTCTGTAGATTCAATATAATTAGAGAGTGCATTCATCCATAGAAGTCCACAGTGGAATTTTCCACAGAAGCCAAACTAAAGTGGAAACTTGACAAAGAAGTGGAGGTCAGAAGGCAAGAGCCAGGACCACCAGTTTTCCTTGGGGTTTCAGGAAATAAGGGAAGAAATCTTTCTGAGCTGCTAAAGAAGAAAAGTGAAGCAGCAGACTGGCTACAGGGAACCAAGAAGACCAAATGTTCTTTAGAAGCTAGAGAGAAACGGGCTCAGGGGCTCTGAGCAACAGAATCCTCAAACAAGATCAGCCCAAGAACCAAAGGGATTGGGACCATTTTTGCCAAGATATCTATCAGGGAATATAATCTGTGCACTATGTGATTGGCCTGCTCTAGATGGAAATATCAGAGGTCCTGCTCAGTTCACAGCCAATAAGATCATATGCATTTAAGTGCTTGCTTCCATCTGTACCAACAGTGAAATCATGGTGCCTGGATTTAGAGCCAAACGCAGTCCGGACCCTCCCACTCAGGGTTTTATGACCTTGGTTAAGCTACTTAATCACTGTAATCCTCCATTTCCTCATCTGTAAAGTGGAGGAAAAAACTTTTGCTACCATTTAATAAGTATTTCCTATTGCCAGACACTATGCACTCTACAAATATTACCTTCTTTACTCTTTACCACCATCCCAAGAGGTAGGTATTATGACTGTCTTGACAGATGAGGAAAATGAGGCTTAGAGAGATTACCATGCATGTTCAAGGTGTCACAGCTGGTAAGTATTAGGATTGGAACTGACACTTGGTCTAACTTCAACGTCCACAGCCTCAGACTGTGCAGCACTGCCTATCCAGCTGCCCTAAAACCACAGAGTTGAATGCAGATGGCAATTTTCCATGCTTCGGTTCAAATACAGCTGAAGAAGCACCCTCTTCCTCTATCACAGTGGGATCTACAAAAGGGAAGTCCTCCCCTGTTTATTTTTCAGCGAACAAAAGACACAGCGCCTTTTTCTGGGTATTTGTTTTATCTTGTTGGCATCCTAAACCTACAGACTAGAAAACATCATTCTCAGCCCCTCAGGTCTCCAGTGAGCAAAACTATTATAAGGAACTGCCATTTGTCAGCTTTCCTCGGTACCCTCGACAGGGCAAGGGCATTGCCAAAATATGGTCCCTATTTCTGCAGGCTGTCAGCGGCTGCAACCTTGGAATTCAACCTCTCCAGCTTATTAACACAACAAATTACCCACCACGAGAACTGCGGAGTGCATTCGCTTGGAAAATGGTCTCTTTTTAATGAAGTGATTTAATTAGGAGCAATTTTCCCATCAGCTCACTTGTCAGAGCATGGCTGAGGCAGCCATTGAGATGAGCGTTTGGCCTGTGCCTTCCTGCTCCCTCCTTTCTGATGCCACCTTTTGGAGAAGGAGGAAAGTGAAACCACTTTAGGAAAACACAGTTCAAGCTGGGAAAGGAGACAGATCAGGCCTGAAGGCTGTTTTGTAAGGTCTTCAGAGAGTCCACCGTTTCAGGATGTGATTTGTCCATTTGTAGCGTGATTCTCCCAATGGGGATTTTTAAAGACTTGAGCATCTTGTGTGTCTCCCTTCCGCTCCTTGCCCTTAGCCTTGATCTCCTGCAGGCCTGGTGGTTAAGAAAACAAAATGAATTTCAAAGCATTACTTGCTGGAAATGTGTAACTCTGAAGGATGTTTGGGGAGGAGGACTAATGCATGGTTGAATCCAGTTGAGTCTGTGGTATCCACAGGCTGCAAAGTTTCTAAAATTGCATTAGAAATCTGATTTTTTTTTTTTTTTTTTTTTTTTTTTTTAATGAGACAGGGTCTTGCTTTGTCACCCAGGCTGGAGCGCTGTGGTGTGATCATGGCTCACTGCAGCCTTGACTTCTCAGGCTCAAGTGATCCTCTTGCCTCAGCCCCTCCCAAGTAGCTGGGACTACAGGTACACGCCACCATGCTCAACTAATTTTTGTATTTTGGGTAGAGACAGGGTATCACCATGTTGCCCAGGCTGGTCTTGAACTCCTAAGCTCAAGCAATCCGCCCGCTTCCCAAAGTGCTGGGATCATTGGTATGAGCCACTGTACCCAGACTGATTTTTTTTAAGCCAAATTTCCATCCTGGACCACTTGATTTTGACTTTTTGTTGCATTCCCATCATATTTTCAGCTCTCAGATATATAGTATTTGACATGTATGGATGCCTGTCTTTCTGTATCATACATGTGAGCCTTCCACCACACCTCCCAGATTTGGGAATAAGCAGGTAAGAGTCCCCTGATGCCAATGGAATTTTTTGTGTGTGAGTGCAATTTTTCTTAATTTTTCTAGAAAAAGGGGGATAAAGTTGAAGTTTAGGATCAGTGACTAAATGTTTTGCAAAAAGGTACATCAGTGTTGAGAAGATCAGAGAGCTCAATGAGTCTAGTGTGGAAAGAGTTCATGGAAACGGTGAGTTTTTGAATGCAGTCTGAAAATACTTGACAGATTTGTGGCTCCCTTTATGCATATTTAATCTTTTTTCCCTAAGAAAACCAAATAGTCACAAATTCTTTATACTCACTTACAAAAAGTGACAGTAGAAATGTAATCTTTCCAAGGGAAATATTTTTTCACTGTTGTATGAAAGCATCATTTGGTATATGGTTAGGATGGCATATAAGCAATTCTGTGATCCACAGCAGTGTTTACAGATGCTAGCTGAGACCTCGTAGTCAGTTTGTGGACCATGACCAGCACTATTAAAAAGGAAATAATCAAATAGAAAAGGACAGAATAAAAACCACCAGTTTTATCATTATAGGTGTAATCTTGTACACACACTGTGTACCAGCATAAAAGGTAGTTCTTACCAGTGGTTCATGGAGCTTGAAATGTGGCATCAGAAGATCTAGGTTCTAGTTTTGGTTCTTCCATTAACTAACTATGTGACCTTGGGCAAGTACTTAATTTCTCTTCTTTAAGCTTCTCTTTCATTATCTGTGCAATGAAGGCTGAGGTAACTATTTAAGCTTCTATTAGGTTATGAAATATAAGAAATATAAATATATTCCTGCAAAACTGTGCTACATCCCAAAGTCAACTAAATGTGAGTTGAGGGTGTTTTGAATTACCTGCATTGTTGCTTCTCCAGTGATATCTGGGTGGCTACTCAAGATTCAACAGAGATAAGCCCTTTGATCCATCTAGCCATATTGTCAAAGGACTTTATTGCAGTCTTTATGAAAAGGATATTTCAAGTCATAATGAATTTCAGAAATAAGTACGTCAAAGACAAAATCATGGCACAATAACTTGCTGTGGTCCATGCATCTCTACCACCAGCCCCTCATCTCCCTGAAAAAGGAAATATAACAAGAAATACAAAGCTTTGTGCAGCTGGGGATCGTGCCTTGTGAGAGTGAAAGCACGCCTCTCTCTGATGTTTCTCATTCAAATGGAATGTCATGTGCACCTTCCAGAACAAAAAGTTCTCTTCACATGTTCTGTATCATAACTACGCCTTACTTCTTTGTAGTTGAACAAAGGTCTGACTTTTATCACAGATGGCCACTCTTTAGGTCTCAAGTGTAATCTGACACAGCCTTGCTCTGTGGACCAGTCCTATTCTGAGTCAAGACTTCCCTGAAAACTCACACCCTCAATTTTCACAAGAATGCATTTCAGATGGCCCACCAATTTTCTGCATATCCTACATGTATTATATTGCAATGTCCTTGAACTTGGTCTGCTCTAGCATCTCAAATTTGGATGTAGTAGAACTTAAGTCTTGATAATGGATAATAGCATGATTATAGCAATTACTGTAATGCTTTATAATTATGCCTTTATGTGTATGTCTCTTTCATTACATTGTGAACACTTTGAGGTCTAGGATTAGTCATGTATATTGTCAAATTCCTCAGTGAGAGCATCACCTGACCTGTTATTCTAGCCTCTAAATAAATTCTGTTGAGGTTTGATTTATCACTGAAGGAGAGAAGAAAACATGTTATCCAAAGCAACAAAAAAATGGTTGGAGTTATTATATTGGGGGTCTTACATTTAAATGAATTGTATGTGTAGTATCAAAAAATCCACTTCTCACCTAAAGGAATTATTGTTATTTAAAAAGATGCTGAAGATCATCTACACCTAGGGTTGGCAAAATATGGCCTGTGGGTCAAACCCAGCCCACTGCCTGTTTTTGTAAATAAAGTTTTATTGGAACACGGCCACACATTGCCTATGGCTGCTTTTGTACTACAACTGCAGAATTGAGTAGTTGTGACAGAAACTGTATTACTAATAGAGACTACGCATTTACTATCTGGCCTTTTACTCAGAAAGTTTGCTGACCCCCAGTTTAGAGTACTACTCTCATTTGACATAAAAGGAAATTGAGGCCAGGGAGAGGAAATGACTTTCTCAGACTCATTAATGGTACAACTGAGACTATACTCTAGGTCTCACTTTCCAGTTTCTCTTTTTGAATATTCCTGTTTCTTCCCTGGAATGACAAATGTTCACGTTGAAGATGTGATTCAGAGGGGGCTAGGAAAGTGTCCCCATGTTTCTGTGCTTAGCTAAGGAAATATCTGTGAACTTCCTTTCAGAGCTGGTGGGTGATGTTCTATTGTCCCATCTATGTCCATTTTAAAGGGTGACAGTGTCTCAACTTGAACCTCAACTTTATTTACTTTGGATCCAGACACCCCTGAGCATATTTGGAGAATCATGGCCAAATGGGCCATGGGGCCCCCTAAGGGGCCTTTCTCATGAGTCCCCCAGGAGAGTTCACCTGAAGGAGCAAAGGGTAGAGCTGCACAAATCTGGGTCCATGAGAGAGGAGCAGAGAAACCCAGATGGTGCTAAGGGCACCTGCCTGACTCCTAGGCAGAAAGGGCTGCCATAAGGAGAGAATTAAGTGAGTCATTCCACAGACCCTAGCAGGGGCATGGAGGGCATCAGACAGCACAGGGCACTTGTGGCCCTGGTGCCAGTGGCTTTGGCATGAATGGTGGTGTCTGTGCTCTGGTGGTGTCCAGGTAGCTGCACAGGAGTATGTGATCTCTGGAATGAAACTCAGCACAGGAATTCAGGGCAGAACTAGAGAGAAATGATGGTTACTGGTGTTACGTACCAGAGGATTGTGCTATGTGCCCATGTGGAGTGCTCCTTGGGGTGCCCTAGAACCAGCAGGGAAGAAAAGGCAGGGGCTGGGAGGGTTCATAGCAGCAAATGGGGCTGAACCAGATAAATACTCTCTTTTTTAAAAATCCTAGGCTAGTACAGCAAGTGACAGTAACAGTTACAAGTGTTAATCCTCTCATTTGCCTCTGCCAGTGTTAGAATATCATAGAGGTGAATTTGAGTTCTTCCCAAGCCATATCCCCTGAGGTGGACAGCAAAGCCTCCAAAGCTCCATCGCTGAGTTTATTAATCCTGGTTCAATAGGGCAGGGAGATCCTCCAAGTCATTCAACAAGCAATTCCCTTACTGTCAGATACCACTTGTCTATAAACACAGCCCATGCAGTTGATGCTATTGGCACAACCACCTAAACTTGAGTGGGATCCAGAGAAATGGCTTCTGGCCTGTGAAGGAAAAAGCAAAAGAAAACAAACACTTGTTTAACAATGATTTAATTCTCTTCCTAATAGGAAAGTCTCGCTCATAAGTCTAGGACTTAAGCTGTCAGACAAGGAGAGGTAAGTCTATTCACTTCAGATAGGTGGTTATTTCTACCTTCCACCTAAAGAATGTGGATGGAAATGTCAGGGGAGGAAAAGAAGCCAGGGATTGCAGGTTGGATTAGATCACTCTGAAAACCATTTTCTGGGTTTATGGGTGATCATGCATTGTGGTTTTTATTTATAGGCAAGTGGTAGCTTACCAAGAGTGACGCTAGGCACATTGCATACTCTGCCTACTTTTCCTTCCCTGACTTTTCCATCTAAACTCACAGAGGCAGATAAGAGGATTAACACTTCTAACTGCTACTGTCACCTGCTATACCAGCCCAGGATTTTTTTAAAAAGAGAGAGAGCATTTCTCTGGTTCCAATTACTCATGATTAGGGGCCAGACTCTGTAAAATGAGATGTTAACTTGAAAAGATAGCTACATTGCAAATGACTCTTGTTCAGTAGAAAGGCAAAAGAATTCTGTCAAATAGAAAACATAACCCCAAAGGGTCTGATCTTGCTGCTGTGTAGGACATTAAACAGTTTTGCCTAGCTTTGCAAACCCACTTCTACATCCTTACTTTCAATGATCATAGAAAACAGCCTCTTGTATTCTCCTTTGATTTGGATTTGTCTTCCTACTGGTTCCCTCACTAATAAGTTAGATCAATCTTCGACTATATCTGTATGAGAATCATGTTTTTAACATTGAATAGCAACCCCCTTCTCCAAACTTCTCTGTGGGCTTCTCTGTTTATAATTATCCATCTTATTCTCTATGCATCATAATGAATTGGACTCATCTGGCTTTCATTTCTTAGCTGGGAGATTAGACAAAGTCTCTTTGTTTTATTTTTTTAAAAAAGAAAGTTCCTTTCGTGTCTACTTTAAGCCTATTCCCTTCAGCAAGTTGTTTAGTGACCTTTTGGGCCCAGCATTGTGCTAGTTACTCCATAAATCATAGAAGAAAGGTCATAGCCCCTGTCCTTAAGTATCTTACAGACCAAATGGAGAGATGCATCATGTCATTTCTCCATAATTTTTTAATAATAGTCATCTGTTTTGAGACATTGCCATGGCATGTGCAGACCAGTTAGCTACCTTGAGCGCTAAGGCTAATCTGATTTTACTCCAGGATCTAGAAGAAAAAAAAAGTAGCAAGAAAGATGACTGTAGCTGTAACAAGTTTCAGCCTCTGTTGGCTCCCACCCAAACTAATCGGCCTGGGAGATTGATTTCCCTTCCAGCCAGCATCTTGTTCAGCATTTCTGCTCATCATGCTTCTGGCATTGCTTCCTCAGAGGACTGTCCATCATTCCTAAATGATCTCTGGTCCTCTTGATAAAACAGCAGACAGATGCTGGGGATACAGAATTGAAATTCAAAAATATACCTGATTTGCAGACTCATTCCCTCCTCCTTGTTACCCTGGCTTCTCTCACCAGAGAGAACCATCAAGCAGTCTAGCAGTGAATTGGGAAGTTTGTGTGTGTGTGTGTGGGTGGGGGGTGTGTTGAGGGTGGGAGTGGGAGTAAAAGGGAGAAGATTCCTGGGATGAGTTTGAGGGGAGAAAGCTTCTAAGCAGCGATTCTCTAAACTCTCTGAATTCTTATAGGCCCATCTTTGAGGGATATTTTGGAGAATGATGTTGATTTTACTGTCTCTTCAAGGTCAGAAACAAAGGCCAGTTTGTTTAGTGTTAATACAAAGATAGAAGGAGGAAAGAGCAGGCTTTAGTGCCCACATGTTCATTTGGATACAAGGCTAAGAACTTCGGGGTGGGGGTGAACTGGGGAGGGGATGACCATACTTGTGCTAAAGTACTTTATAAATGAAACCCAGCTGAGGCTCTCCCAGGCCCTTCAGATCCAGATAAGGTTTGTTTGAACTGTCTGGACTGTGGAAAGCTACAGCCCTCTCCCATATTTCTGTGAATTATTAAGGGATCTATATGATCTTATTAGCTCTGGCTCCAGCTTTCTGCCCCAGCTGAGTTCTTGATCCCTGCCCTATTGCTTGTGGCTGTTCTTTATTTTCACTCTGGCTTTAACCCAAACATGAAAGAACTTGGCCCTCTTTCCTTGCTTTCCACAAAATAACCATTCACACATGGAAATGAAGGAGATTTCTATGCAGCAACATGAGCTATTTTAAATGGCACAGCAGATATTCCTCTTCTTAAAAGTTCTTTGGCTACCCTGCCTTCTTGCCCTGCCATCCCCCAAATCTTCTTGTTCTTTTGTGCAAAGGCAGTGTGTTCTAACAGGAGCATGAAGGTTGCCTGCTAGAGTTCCTATCCTAGTCTAACGCTTACTCGCTGTATACCTTAGGTAAGTCACTTCAACTCTCCATGCCTCATTCTTCTCATCTGTAAAATGGATTTAATAGCCCACCTATCTCATAAAGTAGTTGTGAGAATAAAAGGAGATAGATATTGCCAATACGCTCATTAAAAGATGCTTGCCACCATTAGTTAACAGGGAAATAGAAATCAAAATCACGATGAGATACCACCACCACGAAGATGGCCAGAATAAAAAATTCAGATAACAACAAGCGTTGGTGAGAATGTGAAGAAATCAGAACCCTTATAGATGGCTGATGGAAATGTAAAATGGTGCAGCTGCTTTGAAAAACAGTTTGGCAAGTTCTCAAATAGTTCAACATAGAGTTACTATAGAACTCAGCGATCCACTCTTAGTTGTATACCAAAGAGAAATGAAAACAACGTCCACACAAAAACTTGTGCCTGAACGTTTATAGCAGCATTATTTATTATAGCCAAAAGGTGGAAACAACCCAACGTCCATCAACTGACAAATGGATACATGAAATGTGTTAAATTCATACAGTGGAATATGTTCAACTACAAAAAAGACCAAAGTGCCAACATAAGCTATAATAACATGGAAGAATCCTGAAAGCATTGTGCTATGTAAAAGAAGCCAGTTGTAACAGATCACATACTATAGCATTCTATTCATGTGAAAAAGAAAGAGAGAAACCTACAGAAAGTAGGTGAGCGGTTGCTCAGGACTGAGGGGTGGGGTGTGGGGAAGAGGAGGGTAGTAGCTAAGGGACATGGGGTTTCTTTTTGAGGTGATGAAAATGTTCTAAAATTAACTGTGGTATTGTTTGTACATATCTGCGAATACTCTGAAAGCCATTGATCGTACCCTTTATGTGGGTACATTGTATGGTATGTGAATTATATCTTAACAAACTGTTTTTTTAAAAAAAAGGAAATGTATATTTATATTTATAACAGTGCCTAGCACACAGAAAAGCTCAGGGACCTGAGAGGAAACAGATGGCACATTGATGTGAGTTATTAAGGAGAGATTAATGAAGTATCTATTCACAGAGGTGTGGGCAGGGTCAGGGGAAATGAACAAGAGATGCTGGAGTGTCCCAGGGCAAGGGGAGGAATCCAGAGGCTGGGCTGTAGTAGAGAGGGTGGCCCAGCAGGAGCTGTGGCTTTCATAGAGACAGCAGCCACCACCCACCTGCAGCCCAGCAGGGAGACCCTGAGAACCAAGGCCTCCACATGATCAGACATCATTTGCTGGGGCTTCTCTTGGCTGGACCCGTCCGAGAGCTCGAAGAGCCATTGAGGAGCCCACAGATGTCTCCTGGAGCAGAAGCTGTTATTATTATGTGCACCAGCTTAGCCTTCGTTTGTTTTGTCACATCTTAACAGCCCCACCTTAGTGCCAATCTTCTACGGCCATGCTTTTCCCACCAATTGGTCCAATAAGGTAGGTTCTTAACTAAGAGGTTTGCTTACTAAGAGGTTTGGGTACTTTTCTATCGGGGGAACTCACCCCCAATATTTCAACGTAGGTTCTTTCTATTTTCTCCAAGTGTCAGCTGGTCTGAGAAATAGAAAGAGTACAAAGAGAGGAATTTTACAGCTGGGCCGCTGGGGGTGACATCACATATCGGTAGGTCCATGATGCCCACCTGAGCCACAAAACCAACAGGTTTTTATTGAGGACTTTAAAAGGGGAGGGGGTGTATGAACAGGGAGTAGGTCACAAAGATCACATGCTTCAAAGGGCAAAAAGGAGAACAAAGATCACATGCTTCTGAGGCCAATAAAGATCACGAGGCAAAGGGCAAAGCAAAGATCACGAGGCACAGACAAAATAAAAAACTCCTGATAAGGGTCTATGTTCAGCTGTGCACATATTGTCTTGATAAACATCTTAAACAACAGAAAACAGGGCTCGAGAGCAGAGAACTGGTCTGACCTCAGATTTACCAGGGAGCAGTTTTTTCCCCCATCCTAATAAGCCTGAGTACTGCAGGAGACCAGGGCGTATTTCAGTCCTTATCTCAACCGCATAAGACAGACACTCCCAGAGCAGCTGTTTATAGACCTCCCACCAGGAATGCATTCCTTCCCCAGGGAATTAATTATTAATATTCCTTGCTGGGAAAATAATTCAGCAATATCTTCCCTACTTGCACATCCATTTATAGGGTCTCTGCAAGAAGAAAAATATGGCTGTATTCTGCCTGACCCTGCAGGCAGTCAGACCTTATGGTTGCCTTCCCTTGTTCCCTACAATTGCTGTTATTCTGTTCATTTTCAAGGTGCACTGATTTCATATTGTTCAAACACACATGTTCTACAGTCAATTTGTACAGTTAACACAATAGTGGTCCTGAGGTGACATACATCCTCAGCTTACGAAGATAACAGGATTAAGAGATTAAAGACAGGCATAAGAAATAATTATAAAAGTATTAATTTGGGGAACTGATAAATGTCCATATTAAAATGAAATCTTCACAATTTATGTTCCTCTGCCACGGCTCCAGCTGGTCCCTCCATTCGGGGGTCCCTGACTTCCCGCAACACTTTTCTGTAGCAAAATATTTGCAGGCTTCTGCAAAGATGCCCTACAGACTTTATCCTAGACTGGCTGGAGAAAGAAAACTAAAACATCAGAATGCTTTCCCCAGGCTATACACAGAGGGTGGGAGTGGGTGGAAGGAAACAAATAGGGCTGAAGTGTGGGGTACCACACTTTTGCAGCCCACATGGAGGAAGTACCAAGAGTGTAGGCAGATAAGAAACAGATTTTCAGCTTCCCCTTCTAGTAACCACACCTCCACAGGCTTGTATTTATTCCTCCCCGATGTAATTTCCTCCTGGAAGTGTGGCCTCCTTTCTCAGTGGCCTTTTTTTTGGACAGACTGGTGAATCTATATTTGCATTAAAGTCTGGGCAGAAAGGGGACCTGAATACATGTTATGGGCTGAATTGTGTTTCCCCAAAATCCCTATCTTGAGATCCTAACCCCCAGTAGTTCAGAATGTGACTGTATTTGGAGATTGAGTCTTTAAAAAGGTAATTAAAGTGGGCCAGGCGTGGTGGCTTATGCCTGTAATCCCAGAACTTTGGGAGGCCAAGGCAGGTGGATCACCTGAGGTCAGGAGTTCAAGACCAGCCTGGGCAACATGGTGAAATCCCCGTCTCTACTAAAAATACAAAAATTAGCCGAGCATGGTGGCAGGCACCTGTAATCCCAGCTACTTGGGAGACTGAGGCAGGAGAATCCCTTGATCCCGGGAGGAGGAGGTTGCAGTGAGCTGAGATCACACCATTGCACTCCAGCCTAGGCAACAGAGTGAGATTCAGTATAGAAAAAAAAATTATTTTTTAAAAAAAGGTAATTAAGGTAAAAGGAGGTTATTAGGGTGGGCCCTAATCCAATCTGATATGCATCCTTATAAGAAGAGAAGGACAAAGACAGACAGACAGAGGGAAGACCATGTGAAGACACAGGCAGGTCTCAGAAGAAACCACCCCAGCTAACACCTTGATCTTCGACTTTTAGCCTCCAGAATTAAAAATCAGTTTTGGTTATTTACTTATTTATTGTTTTTTGAGACAGGGTCTCACTCTGTCAACCAGTCTGGAGTACAGCCTCCGTCTCCCAGGCTCACTGCAGCTTTGATCTCCCAGGTTCAGCAATCCTCCTGCCTCAGCCTCCCACATACCTGGGACTACAGGCATGTGTCACCATGCCCAACTAATTTTATAAAATTATTTTTTGGAGAGACAGGATCTCACTATGTTGTCCAGGCTGGTCTCAAACTCCTAGGCTCAAGTGATCCTCCTGCCTCGGCCTCCCAAAGTGCTGGGATTACAGGCATGAGCCACCGTGCCCAGCCAAATTTTAGTTTTTGAAGCCACTCAGTCTGTAGTACATTGTTATGGCAACCCTAGCAAACTAACACACTACTCCTTGCAGGATGTTAGTTGCCCACCTTTCTCCTGCAACTCGTGGCTTTACAAGGTTGAGAGCAAAGTCCCTTGAATTAGGGTTTTGCTTCCCGCCTCTGCCCTATTGTTTACTCATAAGAAGAGCATTTGGGATGCTTTGCTGTTTTGTTCCAAGTATATATTCTGTTTATAAAACTTAGGAGTATAAGGAGTATCACCTTTTCTCTTTTTCTTTCTTTTCTTTCTTCTTCTTTTTTTTTTTTTTTTTTGATGGAGTTTCACCCTTTGTTGCCCAGGCTGAAGTACAGTGGCACGATCTCCGCTCACTGCAGTTTCCACCTCCTGGGTTCAAGCGATTCTCCTGTCTCAGCCTCCTGAGTAGCTGGGATTACAGGTGCCCACCACCATGCCCAGCTAATTTTTGTATTTTTAGTAGAGATGGGGTTTCACCATGTTGGCCAGGCTGGCCTCGAATTCCTGACCTCAGGTGATCCACCCACCTCGGCCTCCCAAAGTGCTGGGATTACAGGCATGAGTCACCATGCCTGGCCTCATTTATTTCTTTAAAACAGCTGTAATCTGCTCCAAACCTCATCCCTCCTGATTGACCAGAAAGTCAATTTCAGTCATACTTGAGGCTCCCCATTTCAGATTTGTGCAAAAATCCTGGAGGTCTTATAGAGGCTACAGCATTTAGGGAAGGCCTTCTGACCTGGCCTTCAGTTTCTCTGGTCTCTTTTTGTTACAGTAGGTAGCAAAAAGCAGGTAGCTCATGTCTGCTAGTCAGACATGAGCAAGGCAGGATAGGCACCCCTCCACCCCCACCCCCACCACCCACACACACACCAGGAATGTTAGGCAATGATCAGGTGATGGTCAGGTGACTGTTAAACTGTCTTGTTAAAATAATAATTGGTTTCAGCCAGAGCCAGGGGAAGGCTTTCTCCCAATAAACAGAAACACCTGAAACTGGTGATCAGCAGCTTCCTGATCCCAGGAGCTGGGTAAGTGGGCTCAAGTATGCACATTACAAGGCAAAATGGCAAAGCTTAACTGGTATATGACCTTTAGAGACATTTGACTGGCAAGGGAAGAATGTCTCAAGTGAACATGTGTACAATTCCAGTAAACACACTGTGCGTGCTCCCCGCCCCAGCACTAGCAGGCCACTGTGCATGTGGACAGCCCACCCCAAGGGAAGAATCAGGGGATAAGGGACACAAAGCCCCAGAAGTATGCCAGCGTCTAAAACCCCAAGTCAAAAGGTCAAAACTGCACACTTGATCTCTCAAGTCACCTTCTTGGCCCTCTTCCAAGCGTACTTTCCTTCCTTTCATTCCTGCTGTAAAGCTTTTTAATAAACTTTCACTCCTGCTCTAAAACTTGGCTTGGTCTCCTTTTCTGCTTTATGCCCCTCAGCTGAATTCTTTCTTCTGAGGAGGCAAGAATTGAGGTTGCTGCAGACCATTATGGATTCGCTGCCATTAACCTGTTTATCTGTTTATTTTCCAAACTTCTATGAGTGCTTAAAGGGAGCAATGTCATGGCTTTTGTGCCATGCTTGGACAGGAAGGTCTTTGCAATACCCTTCCCTCCTGTTCTAGGAGAAGCCTCAAAACTCTTTTCCTTTGGCTGCTTCTGTCTCCCCCTCCTCCACCCTAGCTTCAATGTCCTCTAATTACATGACACGCCAACAAAGTTCTCTTGGCCTGGAAAATGCTGTTCACCCTTCTCCCAAAGCTCCCCAAGGCAAAGAACACAAGACCTGGTTAACTTTTTGGTAGCAATTTGCAGAAACATTTAGAGCAATAAAAATGGAGCCAAAATTAGTATCTTCACAAGTCACCCTGCTTTGTTTTGATGGAGTGTAGGGAAGCCACTACACTCTCCAAGCCAGATTGCTATCGTGGAACAGCTGGAATTCTGTCACAGATGGGGCAAGAAGAACTCAGCTGGCATTTCCTCTGAGTTCAGGTTCCTGTGGGGAACAAACACAGCTCTACAGATGATGGCTGCTGGCTTCGATTCCTTTCCGTGCCCAAGACTCTCAAGCAGCTTTTTTCGACCCGGGAGTTAAGTCAGTACAGCCAGATTTAGCTTTCTCCGCAGGTTTCATAACAGATAGAACAAAACCGGGATATCTCCCTGCCCACCCACAGGGGATGGGAAGAACTCTGTGACAGGTGTTCCACAGCCATTCGCCTCCTGTTGACACCTCCTCACCCTGTGGCTGGAGGTGGAAAGGGAAACAAAAAACGTGAATTCCAGGGTGCAGGGCAGCCACTTTCTGAGAAATGATTAGGACCCCAGAGAGGAGGAGTGCTCAGACTCTGAGCATCTCATTAAAAAGGATCAGTCTGCTACTGTGGTGCTGGAGCTGGGGTGATGCGGGTGGCTGACGGCTCACTGCGGGCAGTGAGGGGCGGGTGACCATACTCAGACTCTGCATGTCCTTCATATGCAAAATGCCTTCATTTAAGTGGCTCCCAGAAATCCAGCCTTTTGCAGGAAGGCTTCTAAAGCCTTTTAGGAAAAAAACAAACAAAAGAACTAGTATCCCTCCTGCTAGATTTAGATTTTCCCGCCTATCAGTCTTCATCCCTGCCTCTATGACAGACAGGCACACACACCACACACAGTCATGAGCACATGGGTGTGTGCACACACAAACACATACACATCCCAGGGGAATGGTTCATTTTGTTTGGAAGTTTGTTCCTTTGTCCCCATCTGGAGGTACCAGGATGCCTGTCCCCTTTCTCCTCACTCTCGGATTTGCCACTCGCAAACCAAGGTATCAGGTAGTTCTTTGGGGTTACAGTGTCAGTTTTCCTCTTCAGTATATTCGTGGAGCTTTGCTTGAGGGTGGGACAAAGGTGTGCAGAATGAAACAATGAGTAAGATATGAGTGAATGTCCTCAGCCTCGCAGGTGGATTTAGACAACCAGTGGGAAAGTCTAGAGGAGGGCACGATTAAAGTTCATAGCGAGCTGTGATGATTTCACAGAGATTATCATTTGAAGGGGGCCTTGAGAGAGGAGAAGTTCAGCAGGGGAGGAGTAGTGATTGGGCATTCTGGACAAAGGAAACAGGATGGTCAAAGATCTCTATTACCTGACCCTGTTTTATTCTCTTCCAACATTTAGCACCATCTGAAATTGTACTTTTATCTAGCCTCTAATTCTTTCTTTTCTGTCTACACTATGCACTCTAACTCTATGAGTGCAGGAAATATGTGTGCCTCATTCATTGCTGTGTCCTAAGTGCCTAAAATAATTTCTAGCACATCGTGGGTGCTCAGTACATATTCACAGAATGGATAAATCAATGCTCAGACCAAGGAAAAGGGAGAGAAGGAGACTCTTTTTCTTTTCTAATGTATGTGGTTTCATTTCATCCTTACAATACCACTCAAGAAAGACATAATCATCTCTACCTTACAAATAAGGAAACTGAGGTAAGCAAAGGTAACTTACTGGGAGTAAAAGGTAAAGCTGAGATTAAAAGCCTAGTTTATCAGTTTGTAAAGTGTAGATTATGCCATGAAGACTAATGAAGGTCTGAACTAAGCAAAGCTGTGGGAAGGAAGTTAGAGAGGTGAGCTCACGTTTGAGGCAGTGGGTTGATAAAACTGACAAGACTCGGACACAGATGGAAAGGGAGAAATTCCCTTGCAGACTCATCTCCATCTGAGTGGCTGGTCCTGACCTCCCTCTCCACTGGATTCAATCACATGGGGATTCAGAAAAAAACATGTGGCATTGGCCACTAGCCAGTTGTTTAACTTTGGGAGACCTGCCCAATTTCTCTAAGCATGTTTTTCCCCTGCTATATGGTGATAAGCAATCAGCTGGCTTTTAAGGGTTGTTGTGAGATGACTGATGTACATCAAGCACCCACAACAGTGCCTGGCCCACAGTAGGTGTTCCATAAATATTAATTCACCTATCTTTCCCCATGATTTCCTGATGTCTTTTGGCATGGGAAGTACTGTTCCCAAGAGGAGGACCAAAGGGCAAGTGTGAGGACATCCACCCTGGCCTAGGTACGGGAGTGGATAGTCTCAAGAAGGAAGGAAGTGACAACCTAGGCCTGGGGGCAGTGGATGGAAAAGAAGTTAGGGAAGTACCCAGTAGAGAAAATCTCCCCGTCTCTGAGAAAAACTCTAACCCCTCTGGAAAAAGGTTAGACAAGAAACCACAATTCTAAAGGGATTATGGTCAATCTCTTCTCTGCAGAAAGGTGTAGCCAGAGTGTGGTGATGGGGAGCCAGGGGGCTGTTGGGCTTGGGCCTCATATATGTAAATTTGGTTGTGAATTGGGTTATGAATAACCAAATGAAGCTACTCACAGTTATTATCATTTAGAGTTTGTTAAGTTAGTTTTTAAGAAATTAGTTGTGAGTTTAAATATGCCATAGAACCTATTGGAGATTTTCCATTTCTTAAAAGGTAATGTTCACTATTCCATAAAATTATTTCCTGAAATAAATACACGATTATGAAATCATTTTAATGTGTTAACTTATAAACAAATTCTATCACAGTTGTTTGTAACTCTTTGAATTTCTTAATTTCCTATGTATTTAAATTGTTAAATAAAATAAAATAAAAAAAAGAGGCCTAGGTCTCTGTCTTCTCCAGCTCTGAGAGCTGCCAGGCACAAGCCCCACAGCCCAAGGCCGGCACCCGAGGGGAGGTGCAGATCTCCTTACTGTACTTGTTTACAGCGCCACCTGGTGTTCCTAACGCATAAGCGCCCTCACCCCTAAGAGTTGGAATTTGCTAAGTAAAAAAGATCCCTACAGCTGTTTTTCTGAACCATTCTCTCTCAAAATCTCTTTTCTTTCCTTTGAAGAGTATGAGGCATATAAGTAAGAATAATACAAAATAACAGTTAATTTTCTAAAATTTTACTAATCTTTGTAACGTGGAAAAGAAGGTCTGGTCTTGTTCTAAGTGCCCTGCATGGATTAAGTAACTTAGTTATTGTAACTCTGAAGACAGGTATTATGATGACCATCCCCATTTTACAGATAGCAACTGAGGTACAGAGAGTTTAAGGAATTTGCCAAAAGTTACGCAGCTAGAAAATATTAAAGCAAAGATTTGAACCTAGGCAGCTTGGCTTCAGTACTCACGCATTCTTATGCTGCTTCTCTGTGCATGCGTGTGTTTCAAGAAAAAAAAATTAATTTTTATTTGTACTGACACTAAGAATTTAATCTCTCTGGGCAAACCTCAATGGACCAAGGATAAACGGGGCAGCAAAGGAGTGAAAAATATGCCTTAAATGATCCTGACATATGAGACGTTATGCTTTTCAGGTTGCTTGAATTCTCCTTCAGAATGTCACTTGGTGGTGGCCGCGCGCGGTGGCTCACGCCTGTAAGTAATCGCAGCACTTTGGGAGGCCGAGGCGGGAGGATCACGAGGTCAGGAGATTGAGACCATCCTGGCTAACACGGTGAAACCCCGTCTCTACTAAAAATACAAAAAAAAAAAAATTAGCCGGGCGTGGTGGCGGGCGCCTGTAGTCCCAGCTACTCGGGAGGCCAAGGCAGGAGAATGGCCTGAACCTGGGAGGCAGAGCTTGCAGTGAGCCGAGATCGCACCACTGCACTCCAACCTGGGCGACAGAGACTTGGCATCCAGAAGGATGGCACACAAACAACTCAATTAATGTTTATAACAACCCTCCCCAAGAAAATATTATCATCTCCCTTAGTCCTTTTTTTTTTTTTTTTTTTTTTTGAGACACAGTCTTCCTCTGTTGCTCAGGCTGGAGTGCAGTGGCATGGTCTTCTTGGCTCACTGCAACCTCTGCCTCCCGGGTTCAAAAGATTCTTGTGCTTCAACCAACCAAGAAGCTGGAATTACAGGCGCCCACCACCACACCCAGCTAATTTCAGTATTTTTAGTAGAGATGGGGTTTTGCCATGTTGGCCAGGCTGGTCTTGAACTCCTGACCTCAAGGAATCCACCCACCTCAGCCTCCAAAGTCCTGGGTGAGAGGTGAGAGCGTGCTGGCAGCCCTCGCAGCCCTTACTCACTCTGGGCGCCTCCTCGGCCTTGGCGCCCACTCTGGCCGCGCTTGAGGAGCCCTTCAGCCCACCGCTGCACTGTGGGAGCTCCTTTCTGGGCTGGCTGAGGCCGGAGCTGGCTCGCTCAGCTTGCCGGGAGGTGTGGAGGGAGCGGCGCGGGCGGGAACCGGGGCTGCGTGCCGCACTTGCGGGCCAGCGCGAGTTCCGGGTGGGCGTGGGCTCAGCTGGCCCCGCACTTGCAGCGGCCGGCTGGCGCCGCCGCCCCGGGCAGTGAGGGGCTTAGCACCCAGGCCAGGAGCTGCGGAGGGTGCCCTGGGTCCCCCAGCAGTGCCGGCCCGCTGGCGCTGCGCTCAAATTCTTGGGCCTCAGCTGCCTCCTCGCGGGGCAGGACTCGGAACTTACAGCTGGCCATGCCTGAGCCGCCTCCCCCACCCCCGCCGTGGGCTCCTGCGCTGCCCAAGCCTCCCCGAGGAGCTCCGGCCCCTGCTCCAGGGCGCCTGGTCCCATCTACTGCCCAAGGGCTGAGGAGTGCAGGCACACGCTGCAGGACTGGCAGGCAGCTCCACCTGCGGCCCCGCTGCGGTATCCACTAGGTGAAGCCAGCTGGGCTCCTGAGTCTAGTGGGGAACTTGGAGAACCTTTATGTCTAGCTAAGGGATTGTAAATACACCAATCAGCACTCTGTATCTAGCTCAAGGTTTGTGAACACACCAATCAGCACCCTGTGTCTACCTCAGGGTTTGTGGATGCACTAATGGGCACTCTGTATCTAGCTAATCTGATGGGGACTTGGAGACTCTTTATGTCTAGCTAAGGGATTGTGAATACACCAATCAGCACTCCGTATCTAGCTAATCTAGTGGGGACTTGGAGAACTTCTGTGTCTAGCTTAGGGATTGTAAACGCACCAATCAACACCCTGTCAAAACGGACCAATCAGCTCTTTGTAAAACAGACCAATCGGCTCTCTGTAAAATGGACCAATCAGCAGGATGTGGGTGGGGCCAGATAAGAGAATAAAAGCAGGCTGCTGGAGCCAGCAGTGGCATCTCCTCGTACTCTGTCCTGGTGTGGAATCTTTGTTCTTCACTTCTTTGGGTGCATGCTGCTTTTGTGAGCTGTAACACCGCGAAGGTCTGCAGCTTCACTCTTGAAGCCAGTGAGACCAGGAACCCACCAGAAGGAAGAAAGTCCAAACGCATCCGAACTTCAGAAGGAACAGACTCTAGACACGCAGCCTTTAAGACCTGTGACACTCACGGCGAGGGTCCGCGGCTTTATTCTTGAAGTTAGTGAGACCAAGAACCTACCAATTCCGGACACACTGGATTTACAGGTGTGAGCCATCCCTTAGTCCTTTTAAGAGTTCAACAATTAGGATTGCTTCATTAAAAAGGGTAATAATAACTACTATTTATTGAGTGCTTTTATTGTTTTGTTTTTAGAGAAGTAATTATCTAGTAAAAACAGTGTAGGTTTTCAGGATTGTGCTGCCTGTGTGGAAATCGGGAAAAATAAGGATGCTTACCTTAAACGGGTGTGAGGGATTAACTGATGTAATACATGCAAAGAGCTTGGAAGAGTTGCTGGCGCTTAATCAGTACTCCAAAAAATGTTACCTTCAAAACCACCTTTTAATGCAAAAGCATATATATACATACACACACATTGTTGGTTATTATTCATGCAGAAAACAATCTGGGAGGAAACATAAGACATTAATAATGATCACCAAATAGATGTAGTTTGATTTTTGTTTTTCACTATTTCACTTGTATTTGTGGAATGGGCATGGGTTGCTTTTTTAATAAGATTAAAAGAATAACTTTTCAGGAAAAAAAAAAGTTTAAGGAAGTAAGGATGATTGGCCTGGAGAAGCAAGTTTCATAGGAGACATGGTAGATGTATTCCAATAGTTGAGCCTTAAGTGGGGAAAAAAAAAATTTGTACCGTACAGCTTCAGAAACAGGACTGATGGATAAAAGTTTCACAGTGTTTCTAACAATCAGAGATGATTAGAAAAGCCACAATGAGCACCCCATCCTTGAAGGAATTCAAGCAGAAGCTGGAGGCCACCTCTTAGGGATGACCTATAGGTAATTCACGGATCAAGTGGCAGATTAGATCACAAGACCTGTAAGTTTCTATCGAATTGGGGATTCTGACTTATTTCCTATTTGACCTAATTTAGCTTTGACATACACTAGAAGAGATGAGAAACAGGTGGTCATCAGCCTTCAGAGAGCTGAAGTCTGTTCTCTTGCTAATTATTTTTCTGCAACGATCACTGTTTCTATAAATCTTATGAGAAGACACTTGTGTTCCCTCGTTCTATGGATCCAGTGTGGAATGGACACGTCAGAACTGCTAGCAGAGACATGTGAGTGCCCACTCCTCACGCCACCAAATGGCCAGCATCAACCCTGAAGTACAGTCTCAATGTTGGTGCTTGCCAAGAACAGACGAAAGAATAGGCAGTGTCTTTGGAGTTCAGGAGTCTGTGATGCCATTTTTGTCTTCTGTATCAGTCAGGAATGGCTAATAGAGGCCTGGCCTAATGGCTTAAACAAATTAGGTGTTTGTGTGTTCACGTAACAGTAGTGCACAGGAATACCATGCAGGACTGGTATGGCAGCTCTACAACATCCTTGCAGAACCAAGCTCCTTTCTTCACCACTCTCCTACGTACAGAGCTTATAGCCTCAGGAGCTTCAGCCATCACTTCTGCGTTCCAGGCAGGAAAAAGGGAAGAGCAGAAGGTAAAAGTGGTGCTCCTCTGAGTTTTAAAGAACTCCCCTAGAAGTCCTGCTCAGTAGTTAGTGCTTCTGTCTCATGGGCCACATTTTACTGCAAGGGGTGGGGGATGGAAAATGATGCAGTGTTTTTACTAGGTACTTTGTTATCTCATTAAAGTCCAGCGTTCTGGAACTAGGGAAGTAGGTGGATATAGGGCAAACAATAGCAGTCTCTTCCCTTCTCACACAGTCCCTCTATAAGGCTAGTGGGGATTACTCCATACTTCATAAAGATGAGAAAACTGAGAAGTGGTCGTGAGGACTTGTTTAGAGCCACAGAATGTCAGTGGTGATGTTGGTCCCAACACCCAGCTTTGAAAAAATGAGAGAACACAAAGAAACCCATGAACATCTGTGGACAAACACCAGCTGTGAGCCCAGGGCCACCTCTCCTTGCGGAATCAAAACTGGCAGATGAGAGAGGCTGCAGAGGTCAGTGAGGACGAAGGTGGCAGGGCACTGGGGCAGATGTTTCAGTGATGGTGCTCCATGCTCTGTGTCATTCCTTAGGTTGGCAAAAGGTAGACAGCTTTGGCCTTGGCTCAGCTGGGAGAACAGATGGGCAGGAATTCAGCACAACTCCTAAATCAGCCAAGCGGCAGACTGCCTCCTTTCCTTCTCTGGGTCAGCCAAGGCTACAGTTTCCACCTGGTCACAGCCAGCTGCAGAGGCCCAAGACTGAAGCCCATGACAGCTCGGCGAGGAGCACCTAGAAATGTGCCATCCCACACCTGACTGTGAGGGGCCATCAGGAGAACAAGCAAGGGCAGGTGTTTCTTCCAGCAGTGAGGGGACATCTGTACTGAGCTGCCCAGCAGGAGAAAGATTAGATTTCTCTGTGCAAAGCAAACAGCTCCTTATGGCAGTCACATACCTGTCCTCACTCCTTTTGAGCATAGGGCTATACTGAGAAAACCAGTTTGTTTGAAAAAGGCCTGGAGCTCTGTTCTTTCTCATCCCCTTTATCTACCATAGGAATAATGGCAACGTGACCAGAGGTGTAAGGGGAGCCTAGGACCTACTCTGAAATACATGTAATGCAAGTGGAGGCGGCAACTCCCCACATCTGAGGAGGGGAAGGTCCTCACAGAAGGGAAACAGGAACAAAGCAAAAGTAGACAGGAACATGTGTTTAGCTTTAGACACAGGACATAAAATGCAGTTTTGCTGCAGTTCTGGTGAGAGCACGTGGCATAGGAGGAAGACGGCTGAACGTCGCGGGGTTTGCTTGGGAGGAAATGACCAAGCCCAGAGGGAAAGAAGCGTTCCCTCTTTCCCCTTCCAATGCTTACATCAATTTTGGATTATCTGTGTATTTACTCCCCATTCATTGACTCTAATTAAAAGTTGACTGAAATCTGTTTAGAATTCTATGTAGCCAGGCTTTCAGAAAAGCTTTTTAAAATAAGTGTGGAGTAGAAATTTGGTAATGAAGATCACTACCATGCTCCTTTGAGAGAAAAGATGGGAAAGGGACTGGAAGGAGAGGATGGCTAGACGGAGGGAGGGCTAGCTGTGGTGGCCCCACGCTCCTCAGAAGCCGTGCCCTGAAAAGAGCCACTTCTGAGCATTCCACTGACATTACTTTTCCACGAAGCTTTGGGCACCTCAGGCCCCTGCAGTTGGACAATGAGGCTCTTCAGACAACTATAAAGAACTTCCAACTCTTGCTCCCTCACCCCAGGCCTTCTGTAATCTTGAGACCCTAGATCTGCTCACGTGGGCTTGGGAAGGCTGGTCAGATGGCCAATAGGGTCTGGCCCCACCTGCCTTTCCCTTTCCTCCTTCAGCAGCATAGCTCCTTGCCCTCACGAGGGCACAATCAGGGCTGAGAGCCTTCATGAGCCCCCCTTGGTCCTCTGGGGTATGAGGAGTCAGCAGGGACACATTCCCCATCTCCACTAGGACCATCTGTGCTCAATTATAAGCCCTTTGGAAGCAAGCAGAGGGCTGTTTAGCTGCTGCTGGTTCTCTATGATTAGCTTGTTCTTGTTTTTTGAACACTGCACGTGGTGCAGCCAGCTGTGAGAAGCATCCACGATTCAAAGCTTTTTCTCTCTCAAAAAGAAAAGTGCTAAGCTGGTTGTTTTAACTATGGGAAAAGAAAAAACATTTAAAAGTGTTACTTTCTGGGTAAGTTCCTTTCCATACCTTTTAATTCCACTGTTTCCAGGATTGGGACCATCCTTTGTCTATATTTCAGACCCTATATAGGCACTTGCTTGCTGCAAATGAGCCTTGTTAACATCAAGGTAGTGTGTAATTCCAGCTCACGCATCCGTATTTCAGTAGCCTCTCTTCTCGCTTATTGTGTGTTGAGAGAGACCAGATCTTCAAGGCATCCTTTTAATAAAACCATTGCAGAGACTCCACTCTGCAATGCACTAAGGAGCCAGGGCTAACTGCAGAGGCTTACCTTCTTTTCAGGTGCTGAGCCAGGAACAAAGCAACACTACTTTGTTCACACTTGAAATCCTCAGTGTTCTCTGCAGGCAAGAAGCAGTTGGCTGGGTTTGGCTCTATGCCAGCATGAAAATCACTAGGGGTGCTTAATAAAATGGTTATTTCTGGGGCTACATCATGGATTTGAAATCCAGACTCACATGTGAGTGGAGAGCCAGAGAAGCTGGAGATTTGGGAGTCGTGTGAATAGTAATAATGGAAACCACGAGATGAACTACAATTCACAGGCAAAAGAATATGGCAGTAGAAAAAGATGTAGGTAATTGGCCAGGCGTGGCGGCTCAGGCCTGTAACCCCAGCACTTTGGGAGGCTGAGGTGGGCAGATCACTTGAGGTCAAGAGTTTGAGACCAGCCTGGCCAACATGGCAAAACCCCATCTCTACTAAAAATATAAAAAATTAGCTGTGCATGGTGGCATGCGCCTGTAGTCCCAGCTACTTGGGAGGCGGAGGCACGAGAATCGCTTGAACTCGGGAGGCACAGATTGCAGTAAGCCAAGATCATGCCAGTGTACTCCAGCCTGGGCAACAGAGCGAGACTCCATCTCAAAAAAAAAAAAAAAGATCCAGGTAATTACAGTCCCTTCGCCTCACATTTCTGAATGAGGTAAATAAACTCATTTCTTATTCTCATAATATACAGGATCTATGATAAACAGCAGCACAATTACGCCAGTAACCACAGGGCATGCCTATAGATACAAAAAGTTCTTTGTAGCATGGGTTCGGTCGGCTTTTATCTAACTAAATTTTCTGAAATTTAGAAAACCATCTAAATATGGAATAAATGGTTTTACTTACCATGCTGAAGAAAAAGAAGTAAAAATGTCTAAATATTTAGCAGAAATATTACTTCAAAACTGATTTTACTTTTTGTTTTTGCTAAGTAATTTTAAGCGTGCCCAAGGATAAAAAAAATCTGTACCAATCATGGGTTATTACATTGAGGATAATGGGAGCCACTGTCTGAGAAAGGAGTTATCAATATGGAAAGAAAATGAGAAGCAATCCTGTGTTGTTGGACTAGAATTGGAGGTACTGGTGTGAATTCATGGTTTTCAATATATGGATATGAAAGTAAATTTAGATATTAATGTGAAGCAAATTTAGACAACGTGTGTACATATGTGTGTGCATACATGTACACAATTCCCAAGTTCTGACCACTGAGCCTGGGATGAGTGGCACCACAATAGTAAGCACTCCAATCTAACCTTTTATAATAATTTCCTACTAAAAGCAAGCAGGGCTGGAGTAGAGAAACCTGGAATGTCTCATTGTCAAAAAATACAGCAGTGCCCAAGTAGATGGGGGACATGTCAAAAGTACACAGGGGCTAACCTGAAGGTGCTCCCAGCGGCCATATTTGAGACCAGTTACGCATCTAAAGAAATAATGATGTAACAAACCGTAACCCATTGAATAAAAGAAGAAACTACGAGTCCATACTAGGATGAGTTGAATATCTCTTATCTGAAATGCTTGGGACCAGACGTGTTTCGAATTTTTTTGGATTCTGAAATATTCACATTATCCTTATTGGTGGGGCATTCCTAATCACAAACAATACCCTTAATTGTTTACAGGAAATATATACTAAAGTATTTAAAGGTGATAGGCCCACTGGGTTGGCAACTCACTCTCAAATGGTTCAGGTTCTGTACTTGGAATTTTTCTGTTTGAGAATGTTTCAAAATAAAAATGTTTTTAAAAGTGTAATTTCCTTTTTATTTGCATCTGTTTATGACTGAAAAAATGACTAGTTATTATGAAGACACTACTGTTGAAGATGGATATTTTAACATGGAGTTTCAACAAAATTACTTCTTGAGACAGAGCTGATGTGTTTTTTAAATAACGTGATTTTAAGCATATATTTGAACAAAACTAAAACATTTAGTATTATGAATATGAAAAAAGATCAGTAAATCAATGTACTCTTCTAGGCTGAATTAAGGTAGACTATTTAAGGTTTCAAAAAAGTTTGGCTGGGGCAGAATAAGTTTTACAAAACCCATGCCATCCAAAATTAAGATGACATGTAGCAGCAAGAAGTATTCCAATGTCTCATAACCAGTTCTCGCAAGCAATGTGTATTCCTTACTTTAAGGAAGTGTCAAACAAATAGAAAAATCTGGAAGAATTTACTAAGTGTAATAAATTAGAGGTAAATCGTAATAAAAGAATTTATGTCTCACAAAAATATTCACAAGTGGGAGTTTTCTTCTACCAACTTCTCAGAGTCCTTCTAGCCCCCTCTTCACTTCTGAAAGATGGGATTTACCAAAATCTGGTTTACATTTAACTTTTCAGGGACACATGACCTGAAAAGAAAGATGTCAGATAATACTGACATTGCCTCATGCACTTTCTTTGTATCAGTCCTTCTTCTGTAAGTAATCAGAATTGGGTCCAAATGGCATAGAATCAAACATTATGTATCATGCCAAATACCACTTCCTGCCCAACAAAATTTCATTTTTCTCCAGTAATGAAGAGGTGGACATTCTTGTTGGACTGTAGCATCTGTGCCGCCCGCTCCACACCAACCACGGCAGCTAACCTCTGGGCATCATATTTGGAGTAGAGAACAGTGCAGGTCCACGTGGCCTCTTCTCCTCTGTTGGTGGCTCTCAGCATATTACAGATTTCACTGTAAAAGTGTGGAT